>NC_000006.12:12635757-12787272 GCF_000001405.40 Homo sapiens | reverse complement strand
CTGAAATAACAATAAGAAGTTCTAACTTTAAAACAGCAACCTTTTCAATGGAAAAGACTGGCATTAAAGGTTAGCAGCCAACCCTGATCCAGCCTCACACATTGTCCTAATTTCACCAGCTGTTTAAGGACGGGGTGCTCTCTAAACTCCCTTCAATTCTAATATTTTATAAGAACTTTCCATTCAAATCATCTCTTTTTCAGTCAGTTGGAAAATGGTCCTGACTTTCCATTGCTTCAGTGATTGAAATATTTTCCCTGGCAGTATTTTGCTCCTGCTTTAACAGTGTATTTCCTAGCCTCTCTGAATTTATACAAAACTTATAATTTTCCCTCAGTAATAGAAGGTAGGGCATAGTGTCCTTGCTGCTCTCTGTTTCCCAAAATTCACTACTATCAGTGATTTAACCAGGAGTTATGAAATATGTAATTTTATAGATGGAATATTTTTATACATGACTATGGTTTCAAGCATGCCTTGCTCTGCCACAAGGGTTCAGTTACGTGGTTCTGAAGTAGAAGAAACAAACAAAATGACTGCTTTTACCAAGGCTGATGATGATGGACCTTGAAGAGCTTTGCTCTTGTACGCCTGAACCAGCTGTCATTTTGAACTCAACTTTAGAACAACAATTTCCAGGTCTCTAGCTTCTGTGATACTTAAATTCTTCAAAGAGTGTGGGAAGAACCTGTCAGTTAATTCTGATTACAAGCAAACCTGAAGCACATAGGCACAACCATTAACAATTCGCACTTTCCAGAAACTCAGAGAGTTCAATTTTTCCCCTTCTGCTTCCTCTTACTTGAGTACTGATTTCTGAATCTCAGGCTGACATTCCACTCTGGACTGTATTAATCTGCATATTTGAAGCTTTGAAATTAATTGTTAACAAAAGATCTGAATTTGTATTAAGAATTATTTTCCTATTCAAGAGTCATCTTAGAAAGCTATGAATTTGTAATGCTGGATGTATACACACACATGCATGAATGTGCAAGAAACACGAGATAAAAGAGAAGCTCCTGGTGTGGGGTTGCCATCAGTTCATGAGTAGCATGAGAAACCCAATTACATTCCTTTATAATTGAACATTGTACTATGTTTAAAGACACAAAAAGCTATCTGGCTAGGCCATTACTACAAAGGTCCCATTCACTGGGGAAGAATATGCAGTCTTTCTAATCACTATGTTGATATTTTTGAGTATCCAAGGGCAGAGGGAGAAAACGCATGGGGAAGAAGTTTTTATTTTCCCTTTGACTAATGGGTTTAACATCTCAGAATGATGTTATTAGCACAATATAACCGTTGAAATTTGACAGGTCGGCTTTTCAAGAAAGAATTCCCTTGAGGAAAGTCAGAATAAATCTCAGCAATAGGGTGAGTACATTCAGTGGACACACTCCACTAAATAAATAAATAAAGCTATGATGAATGAATAATATAATGAATATAATGTGAGTAATGTAATACATATTGTATATGGTACATATAACATAAACAAATGAATAAGCCATATTAGCAAAGCAAAAACAGTTTGTTCTAACAAAATGTGTTAGAGGGCACCTTTTACCTGGGAGATCGGGCCTGCTTTAAGGATCTATTTTCTACGATGTCCAGTTTCTAAGAAACCTCTAACTAGTTTTGGAATGCCAGACAGCCTTGACCCAACACATTGCAAAACTACTTTTGCTTCAACACAAGAGAAGAAATCTGAATTTTCCTTCTGGTTTTCTGCTCCCTTCAGCAACTGGCCTGGCAGGTTTGTGGGGATTAGTCAACCTTTGCACTACTTCAGTATGTTGCTTCAAGACATCCAGGCATAAGACGTAACTATGTCTAAGGTTTCCTTCCTGAGCAAAACAGGAAAAAGCTCTGCCTATCCGTATGTGTCAACCTAATACATGTACCTCCATTTATTATCTTCCATCACAGCTCTGCCATGGAGTGGAAATTGGACCGGTGGTGGATACAGCCACCTTTTCTATGACAATACAAAATAAAAACTACAATGACAGTTATTGTTGGTGAGGTTCAGTATTTGTCTATATGGCAGCTCTGATGAATTGCATTTTTCACATAGGTATGTTCTACATTTCTTCTTAGACTATACACTCCTATGGGGAGTTCAATCTTCCTTTTCTCTTTCTTTTGCTGTAGTATATGTGTGTATGTATGTGTATAAATATATAAGCATAATATATGTATATGTGTGTATGTGTATAGATATATATGTATAAATATATATGTATAATATAAAATATGGCCTGGCTCGGTGGCTGACACCTGTAATCCCAGCACTTTGGGAGGCTGAGGTGGGCGGATCATCTGAGGTTGGGAGTTCGAGACCAGCCTGATCGACATGGAGAAACCCCATCTCTACTAAAAAAATTAGCTGGGCATGGTGGTGCATGCCTGTAATCCCAGCTACTCAGGAGGCTGAGGCAGGAGAATCACTTGAATCCGGGAGGTGGAGGTTGCGGTGAGCCAAGATCGTGCCATTGCACTCCTGCCTGGGCAACAAGAGCGAAACTCAAAAAATAAAATAAAATAAAAATAAAATATTTATAAATACATATATATACACGTGTGGATGTGTATGTATATATCATTACATATATGTATATATCATTATGTATATATGCATGTTTATCATCATATATGTGTATAGATATACATGTAAGTGTGTATGTATATATCATGTATATGTGTATAGATATATATGTGTGTATATGTACATATCATGTATATGTGTGTCTAGATACATATGTATATATGTGTGTATATGTATATGTGTATAGACATGTGTGTATAGGTATATGTGTATAGATATGTGTGTATATGTATATGTGTATGTGTATAGATATGTGTGTATATGTATATATCATCATGTATCTGTGAGTCTGTATAGATATATATGTATGTGTATATGTATATGTCATCATGTATATGTGTGTATAGATATATATGTATATCTGTGTGTGCATGTATATAGTATCATGTATCTGTGAGTGTGTAAAGATATATATGTATGAGTATATGTATATATCATCATGTATATGTGTGTATAGATATATATGTATATCTGTGGGTATATGTATATTCATCAAGTATATGTGTATAGATACATATGTATATGTGCATATGTATATATCATCATGTATGTATGTAGGTGTAGAGATATATGTGTATGTCCATGCATATATCATGTATATGTGCATATGTGTATAGATATGTGTGTGCATATGTACATATCATCATGTATATGTGTGTATGTGTATAGATATATGTGTGTGTATATGTATATATCATCATGTATATGTGTGAGTGCATGTGTCTACCAAGCAAGCATAAAACTAATTGGTCTCTTGTGTTGATCTTCCCTTTCTCTGAATTTCTACAGCAATTACCTACAGTGCTGATATTTATTATTTCACTATTTTATTTATTTAACATGATATAGTAGAAAAATGTGGATTTGAAGTCAGTTACCTAAATTTGAGTGCTATGTCTAGTTACTTGCACTTAAGCCTGCTAACCTTTAATTTCTTCCTTTGTGAAAAGGAGGCAATAATTTCCAAGATTTTTGTATAATGTTTGAAATATATGTAAAATATCTACCATGCAATAAAGGTTAACTGTTACAGAAGCTGCTGTGGTTTTATTATTGTCTTTCTTCACAATTTGATCAAAAGCTCCCTGAGGCTGAAAACTGCTAATTTGGAGTCCACCATGAATAGGTGAAGCCCATTCATGTTCCTTGTGCCCTTGTCACCTAAACATTGCACCTCAGCTGTCATTGAGCCCCATGTATTGCTATGCACAAAAGAGCAAAGAAATGTGTCTTTAAAAGAGCAAATTAATAAATGAGTGTTATTAAATGTTGTTATTATACTTTGAACCAACATTAATCCAATTTTTTTTAATGAAAGGCATTTGACCGTCATATAGATTCTGGTCAGTGTATTCCTATACATCTGCTAGGATGCACAGCAAACACAGTATGTGCCTGTGCACAACAAAATGAGTATGTGCCTTTCGTGCAACCTACCTGGGCAATGGATGCAGGGAGATGACAATATAACATGATGACTTGTGACTTGAAAACAGGGTTCTGACATTAAGCAAGTCATATACAAGCAAAGCAACAGGCTGTTGACAGCCTTTCATTTTCTGTCAACAGCTCAGACGTTCTCCTAACTCATGTAAACTGAAAGTGTTTCATTTGTCTTGCTTAAATCACGATTAAACTAAACATACGGGGCCATAGTTCACAAGGAAGATTCATAACTGAACATGGTAAATGTTTGAGTCCAGGAATAATATAGGTTGAACACAAATATTTATCCTTTTTTTGCCCCTCTAAATTTCCCAACTGAGTTTCCAGTGGCTATATATTTCATAACAGGATAGGCAATAAGGTAATTACTGTGTCTACTTGAATAATTCTTTTTGATAGCTACATGGCCCCTCATTTCCCGTAATCAGGGTGCCATCCAGAACCTATATTTTCTGTTTCTCTGTTACTTTGCCTGTCTAATTAATAGTAGTCCTCTTTTTTAATTCTATGGCTGGCCATTATCCAGCTCTATCTAACATTCCCTAAAGCCTAAACACATCTCGTTTTATTTCTTGTAAGTTGTTATTAGTTCTTTTCCTATAATTATCCCATGTGCCACCACAATCCAAGCTCATAAAATGTAAAATAATAGATTTAAAGGCTTAGGTGGGAAAATTTACATTTTCCAGCCAATATTTCTATGGAAAACATTAATCATATTCCCAGTATTGCATATCTATATGCAAACATGAGAAATGCAAGCTGATTACAGCTTGTCCCTGTGAATACAGCCTCCTTATGGCCTGACATTATACTGGAAGGGTCAGTTAAGGTAACTGACAAGTCGAATGTGTCCTTTCTAGACACCGGCCCAACCTGCTTGTCCTGCTGAAGAGAGTAGCCAGAACTAGTATGCTATGTAAGGCGTCATGTTCCGTGTCATGTTTTAAACCCTCAGATCTAATGAATTTGATCAAGAAGCGGCACCTGACTGCCAACCCTTGGGTTGACCAGAAACCTATGAGATGCCTTGATACAAAAGCTCAGCCTCAATTTTTTTAAAGCTTATCCCTGATGGACTGGGAAATGTTCTTTGTTGAAAACATTGAGCCAGACCAAGAAGCTTCTAGGCCCCTCAGAAACATGGCAGACAGAGCAAGAGGGAGCACAGAGCAGAGGCCAGAGCCCAGGCAGGAGACAGCACAATTCCACTGCCATGGGCATTCGGGAATGAGTGTCAGATGGGTGACTTGGCCAGATAGGCCATCGTTTGAGTGACAGAGATCCTTGTCACATCACGTTCCCAGCTTCTTCTCCATCACTGTGTCATGGTGTGGCTAAATGCATTCTTTCACTTGGGATTTTGAAAGGAAAATTTTAAAATAAGCAGTCGGTTGGTAGTGAGAGAAGAGTACACATTTACCACCCTCCCTCCCTCCAGGAGGAGGTCAAGACAATCAGAAGCAGAACACCAAAGGAAAGATTCGGGAACACTCTTGCCTCTAACATGGTGACGTGATGGGTCCTGGAGCCGATGTTAAAGGTGTGTAGACAGTGGCTGATCTCTGCCATGTGGCATCTCCCTCCCTGTGGCTAGGCTTTTCATTAAGCCCCCGTGGATTAGGATGACAACATTGAGCCTCTGTTCCTTTCCAGTGGAAAGCCTATCTAACAGTGGACATGCTTAATGAAAATATTCTTTCAAAGTGGAAAATCCTAGAGCCCGTGTAGGCCCATTTGGAAAATAGTTTGCAAGCATTTGAGGGCAGCAAACACTTCCTTATGACCACAGGCACTGATTTGAAAATGGCTCCAGTGCTAGAGATTCACGTCCTGGGTGGAACGAGTATTTAGTAGTGAAGGAGCAATCACAGACCTTATCACTGACAGCAGGTGCACAAGTTGTCTGGATTCTGTACTGTAAAGTTATCACAGAACAGGGGACTCACAGTGAAGCCAGAATCATCCCAGATCCAGCATGTGGGCAAAAGGAGAAGCTCAGCAGGGGATGCCTCTAGGTCTGTGCACAGAACACAGTGGGGACTCAAAACCACTTAAAGAATTTATTGATTTTTCATTCTTCATGTTCCATAGGACCAGAGTGGGGAGTGACAGGGAATGGGCAGGCTCTGCATCCTGAGTTGAGAAGAATTTCAGTTTTTCAAAAATGACTACTAGTAATTTGCCTGAGAATAGTATGACTGCCAAATTGTGCAAAAGGTCCTTCAGCAGCCTCTTCTGGTAGCTGAAGGGGAAAGAGAGAGGAAAGGAGAGCTGAGGAGGAAGCACTAATATGTCTCTCCCCATTCCTTCCCCCACTTCATCTGTCCTCCAAAGCCATCTAGCACAGAGGGGCTGACAAAGATGAAGCATGAGTGAGGTCAGTTTGCACTCTAGTATTTCAGAAATTGTCCATTTAAGCTTTGTGTATGTTTTTAGAGTTTTGGGATCACACTCCAAAACAGTACCTGGATGCCTTTTTCAGGTGACTATCGGGCAGCTTGAATGCATGCCCTCAAATACAGGGCAGGCAGCTTACAAAAGCACCTGGTTTGAGCATGTCGCTGTTTACGCTCAGAGTTGGTCATTATGCATGCAAATGAGAGAGGTATTAGCGATGTGTACTAGGCTTTGATTCTTTAGGTAGATGGCAGCCCCTAGTGCTCTATTCCTTTCACAAGGATCTGGCAAAGATTTACTCTGTGATAAATGGCTTTAATCCACCAAGTGAAATTGCCTCTGCATAATTTTGCTGTGTATGAAGTTTACAGGAGAGTGGATTTACAATTTAAGCTCATAATTGCATAACAGTAATTACTTGTTTCTGTATGTCAGGCCCTGATTCTTTTATATGAAGCTGTGTCTGCAGAATACTTAGGTATGTACATGCACACGCACACACAATGGAATGGCTTCTCTCTCTGACACACACACACACACACACACACACACACACACACACAGAGAAAAGATATATATATATGTTTCCACCACTCTATCTTCTAGATTTGGGCTTTTATTCAGCACATACCTGCCAAAGATTTGAAATTTTAAACAACAGTAACAATAATACTAAAATATAATCAGGTTCTTGAGTCCCTAAATTCTCCTAAACTTCCTGGCTTCCACCTCCAGCATCATCCAGTTTCCTGCCACAAGTTCTTAATACATTTCTCTTCTCTTTCCTTTTCTCTAGGCTAGAGTAGGGTGGGCACACACATGGACCTCATCAAGGACTTGCATATTCAGAAATAACCTCCAAATAGCATTTAAAGCTCAGTGAGTAATATTCATGAAAAGAGCATTACATAATTCACCATCACATATTCCTACTTGAGATGCTCTATCTATACGGAAAGGGCTTTGCTTAAATTAAGCTACATATATATATATAGTAAGCAAATGAGAATGTAAGTATATATAGCTGCATCGCTGCTGGGCAACCCTGCCATAGAAGATGCCAAAAATATTTCTTTCTGGACCCTATGGCATAACAAGAAAATAGCCGTTTCGATAAACAGAAACTGATCAAGAAGGGGTCAGGAAACTTGAAATTAGGGTTTGATTACTTGGTCAATTACACCAAATGGGTTAAAATGGGAAGATTGCCATGAAATTAGGGAAATAAGTGGAAATGGAACTAATGGGTTAGAAGGTGTTATTTATTTATTTATTTATTTATTTAAGAAGCGGTCACCAGGAATATTTTCCCAAGGGAAATATTTCCCAAAGCTTTTGCTTTAATTAACAGAAGTAAATATGACATTACGAAAAAGTTTAACTGAGCTAATGAGTCAATTTGAGAGTCTGGATTTCTTTTTTTTTGAAAAATTAAATGAAAAAAGAGGAAATTTGCTTCTCCAACTTTTTTATTTTTGAGATGGAGTTTTGCTCTTGTTGCCCAGGCTGGAGTGCAATGGCGCGATCTCAGCTCACCGCAATCTCTGCCTCCCAGGTTCAAGCGATTCTCCTGCCTCAGCCTTGCAAGTAGCTGGGATTACAGGCATGTGCTACCACACCCAGCTAATTTTGTATTTTTAGTAGAGACAGGGTTTCTCCATGTTGGTCAGGCTGGTCTCGAACTCCTGACCTCAGGTGACCCGCCAGCCTCGGCCTCTCAAAGTGCTGGGATTACAGGCATGAGCCACCGTGCCCGGCCGCTTCTCTGACTTTTTAATATAAAGTGTCTTCCATGTACAGTTATGCAGGATGTCATATCACGAGGGCACTGAGCCAAGGGCAAGTAGGGCTGAAATCCTGCCTGGCCCCTGTGGCTTAAGCCATGAGCCCTGGCTTGGGGCTGTGTCTGCAGGGGAGGGGGGACCCTTTTCTAATTTGCACAAAGGCACAATGTAGGTTAGTAGTGACCGTGTAATATACTATACAGAAAAATCAAACTGCATTTAAGTGTTTTATGGCATTGAATTTCAAAAATTTGTGCTATTATATAGAGACTACTCTTTCATATAGTACAGGTTCATAATAAGTTTTACTATCTTCCAAGGTACTCTTTTCAAACTGGTGTCCATGGTCATCAGAAATGGGAGAGAGGAAGTGCTTGGACATGTTTTTAAGATTCTCCACATTATCTAAGGGATTTGATTTATAATACCTTTATGATTTTATTTTGATGATAAACTAAACAATCCTTTTGTGTGTAACAGCAACAAGTAGTACAGGCAAGAATTAAAAAGTGGACTTAATAAATAAATGATTTATTTGCACCAAGTAAATTTAAAGAATAAATGAAGACTTTCCTGTGTTCTTCCAGAAAACTATCACCCCAAACTTGAAATATACAGGCACGCTGAGCTCAAAAGCACTGTTGCCACAGCAGTCTAGTACCATATTCACATTTTAAGCAGTAATTTAATTTCAGCCAAACAACATCTTCTGCCACATTAAATTAGTTTTGTTAACTTGATTTTAAGTGATTTTGTAGCCTATATTTGATTTTAATTTGTTTGGATTTTATGGTTTCACAAGAGCTCTCAGAATCAGTTTATAACCAGGTTTGTATATGTACATGCTTAACATGTTTGTTATGTCACATATGTGTATAACAAAAATAATTAAGTCAATGCCAGAGACACAATAATTCATTTTTTTTTTCTTTTAAAAGGATCCACACCTGACTCAACCTTGAGACTTCCCCTTGTATCTCCCGCACCACACCTGCAGCTTGTGAGCTGCTGTGGGGCCAACACAGTCACTGAGAGAAGTCATCCCATTCATATGCCCATACCAGTTAATAACTGTAGTCTAGATAAAGAAAAGGTGGGGCTGGGCGCCATGGCTCATGCCTGTGATCCCAGCACTTTGGGAGGCCAAGGCAGGTGGATCACCTGAGGTCAGGAGTTTGAGACCAGCCTGACCAACATGGCGAAACCCCGTCTCTACTAAAAATAGAAAAATTAGCCGGGCACGGTGGCAGGCACCTGTAATCCCAGCTTCTTGGGAGGCTGAGGCAGGAGAATTGCTTGAACCTGGGAGGCATAGGTTGCAGTGAACTGAGATCACACCACTGTACTCCAGCCTGGGTGACAGAGCAAGACTCTGTCTCAAAAAAAAAAAAAAAAAAAAAAAAGAAGAAGAAAGGGTGGTATATATACACCATGGAATATTATGCAGCCATAAAAAAGAATGAGGTCATGGCCTTTGCAGCAACATGGATAAAGATGAAGGCCATCATCCTCAGCAAAATAACTCAAGAACAGAAAATGAAATACGCATGTTCTCACTTGTAAGTAAGAGCTAAACACTGAGTACACCTGGAAACAAAGAAAGATACCTGGGCCTACTTGAGAGCTGAGGTTGAGAGGAGGCTGAGGATTGAAAAACTACCTATTGGGTACTACACTTATTACCTGGGCGATGAAATAATCTGTACACCAAACCCCTGTGACACACAATGTACCTATATAACAAACCTGCACACGTACCCCTGAACCTAAAATAAAAATTAAAAAAATATATATATATATATATATAAAACCGTAGTCTGAATAAACCTCAAATGTGTCTACACTATAATTCTTCAGAAGTATGCAAGTGCTGATGTATTGAATAAAGTACAAAATGTTTGCGTATTACCCAATTCTTCATCATTTCCAGCAATCCACGGATATATTAAACATAGATGCTATGGGCACACCACACACATTTTTGTGGGACAATTGAAAATTTCTAACCTTGAACATGAGTGTATTTTAAAATGAATGAAAATTACTGCTGTTGGAGCCTTCTATACACCACTATTATTTTGACTCAATGGAAAAAGGATTGTATTAAAGGTGGTATTTTGTAACAAGCTATATCATGTAAAGAGTCCTAACTAGTTTTCTACATTTGCTAAAGAATTTAAGACTCTTCCATGTTATTCTATCATTGAACATCTTATTTCCTCAATCTATAAGTGAGCAGTAAGAAGAACGTAAGGATCCATTTGGTTACATAACTAGTACTTGAGGTTTCTTATATTCTTAAGTTAGGGAAGAGACGTATAAATGATTAATGAAGATAAAAACAAACTTTAAAATAATACATCCATTCTGCTTAATCGTTAAGTGGGATTTTACTTAGGATACATGAAATTCCAAATATTAAAATGGAGTACTAGAACTGATTCTAAGCAACACAAGGCATTTCTGAGTTCCCGTTAGAAGCTGAGCTCACATCTGCCCAATGACAATGGCTGTGGAATGCTCTGCAAAGCCAAGTGGAAGTCTTTGCAGGATGGTGGCATTCAGATCACCAGGGACAGGAGGGTCAGCTGCTGCGAGTGATTAAGTTTCTGGTTTACCAGAGGCTGCTGAAAGTACTGATTCCAACTCTCCAGAGTAAGCTTTTTCAGCACAAGTAGAAAGATTATTTTCTTATTTTGGACCAAATTAAATTGTAAACGGTAATGAGGAGTGTGTTAAGACAACAGAAAAAAATTCTCATGTTTTTCTTCTATCAACAAGGAAAAGGAAAATAAAGACAGTGTTGGCTACATAATCAGCACTTTCTAGGCTGATGTGGATTTGTATATTTTTAAAAATATCCCATTTAAAGCCAAAAGATACAGAAATAAACTCAGGTTTGCTTAAATATTATATGCGTTTTAAAGAGAAAACATCTTTAGACAGTAGTTTGTTTATTTCTTTAAATTTTCAAACATCACTTAAGCATTCAGACTGAGTGGACTCTTAAGACTGGAAGATCTCTTAGAACAAAGAACATGACTACATCGTTCACCATTATCTTTACATTTCCTGGCAGAATGCCTGGTATAAAGTAAGCATTTAATAAATCATTATTAAATAAAGTAATTATTTTTATTAATTTATGTATATAATTAATGAATGGTTTCTCATCCATAGAATCAATGAAAATGGTTGATAATTTGTCTTCTGCCTGGAGGTAGGTAAGCCTGGTTGTACAGTATGTTCCAGGCAAAACTATTGGCAGGAGAGACTCTTGGAATGTGAGATCCTCAAATACCAAGCTTCTAAAAAATGTACTAGAGTTAGAGCAAAAGGAGACCACCTGCTCTGAGATTCCCATATGTACCAGTTGCATTTCATCCCATTTTGTATCTCATATAAATTTGCATATTTTCTCCACCACAATGGGTTTTTTATAAAGCACAATATTAAATTTTATTTTCATTTGTTTCTTGGCAATCACAAATAAATGAAATACCCCAGAATTAGCCTTTGCCACCATGGTACAAATTTAAAATGTGAGTGGCACTGTGCAGTCACATTAGGCCACACGATTAATGAGTTCAGTGAGTGGAAACAGATGTGTGTTCTCATACTGTATTTACTATATTACTAGTTAACTATGTGGCAACAGATGGCCAGATCCAACTTTGTCTAAATAAATATTTTTTAAAAAACAATTAAGATATTTATTTTAACTTTTAAAAATAAGAAGTGTTATTTCATTAGGGGTATTTTTGAGAGTAGAACATTGATTTATCACAGGGTTACAAGTATTAAGGACCTCTTTACTTGAAAAACTGAATAAAATGTGGTACAGCATGTGTGTCTCTGAGTGATAAATTAATGTGTCAAAAAGATGAAGGGAGACTAGGTTCATCCTGGAAGGATGACACAGTAAGGGCACTGAAACTTTCCCTGCTCACCCTCTTCACAGGACACTCCAGCTAGTGAGGCCCTGAGAGGCTCCTGCCCGACACCCTCATCCCCTGGACACTTCACAAGTTGGACACGTCCTTGGAAAGAAAATAAAATGTTTCTGGTCCCTCAGTTCTAGCCATGTTCTAGAAGTGACTCAGGAACTTCATAGGAACATCTTACTTCACTTTATTTGGAAATGGCTTTGCCTTTTAAAAACTTAACTGGATCTGGCACCAAGGCCCGCACCTCTTGCTTCTATACCCTTTCCTGAAAACTGACTATCAGAAGTAATGTGTCTGTGTCTGTGGATGTGATACTGCATTTAAACATCCTACAGATACTTAAAGCCTTGACAAAGTATTGCCTTGAATATATTCAAATAATGGTCAGGCACGGTGGCTCACATCTGTAACCCCAGCACTTTGGGTGGACGAGACAGGTGGATCAGGAGGTCAGGAGGTCAGGAGTTTGAGACCAGCCTGGCCAACATGGTGAAACCCTGTCTCTACTAAAAATACAAAAGAATTAGCCAGGTGTGGTGGTGGGCACCTGTAATCCCAGCTACTTGGGAGGCTGAAGCAGGAGAATTGCTTGAACCCTGGAGGCGGGGGGTGCAGTGAGCCAAGATTGCAACGTTGCACTCCAGCCTGGGCAACAAGGGCGAAATGCCATCTCAAAACAACAACAACAACAACAACAACAAAAGCCAAATATGTTCAAATTATTGATTTGAACATATTTCCTTTGAAGTATTGGGGAAATGAAATACACGCCTCTAGGTTTCAAGGAGTTTACCGTGCTGTTGAGAAGACAAGATCTGAGAGCACTTTACAAATTGTAGAGTGTTAAGCAAACATTAATCATGAATATTATACACAAAGATAGCTACTAATACCAAAAACATATGAAAGGCTAAAATAAAGAATATTTCCAATACAAACTATGTATCCATGATATCTGAACAAAACACTACTACCAATATTTTAAATTTTATTAACTCTGTGACCTTCCAGTTGAACACCTTTATTTGTACCCATCTTACTCTCTCGTTCTTTTTCCTTCCAGATGTACTCTTTAGATTCCCAGAGTGAAACCCTTAAGCTCAAATCCTAAGAGGAAACTGTTGTTGGAGTTTAGAATATACTTTCTGGGCAGTAATCTTAATTACCAAATTGATGAACCAATCAATCCAAAGTGAGTGACAACTATGTTCTACCCTAGAAATGAAAAAAAGAAAAGATGAGCTCACCAAACAAGAAGTGATTTCTGACTTGTAGAATGGGAAAAATATTAGGTATTTTTGTCAAAGTTTGGTATTTTTAAGCGTAATATGAGAAGTAGATATTCTGGCAAAGTGAAACATCCATGTGGTTTTAAATTTTTTTTTAAATGCCAAGTTGATGCCTGAAGCAAATATTCACAGCTCAGATATTATGAGATCTTTGAAATCTTAGGTTTTATATTAGAATTGGGCCATGAGATTAACTGACAGCCTTCTGGTTCTATTACATATGATTATTGGGGATAGTTTAAAGTGTGTTTTTCAAGTATGACTTAAAACTAAGTAACAGAATAAGCAAAATTGCATTTCTTATACCTTCAGGGAAGCGATACATTGTTTAAACTCTGAAAAATACACTAGTGAATCAGGTGAGGCTAGATGGTATAAGTTACAGTAACTGGAAGTTAATTGGGGAAATATACCATTTGTCACACTATTGTTAAAATATTGAGTTGACGCAGGGTGTGAACATCCCTTGGTTCACACAAGGGGCAACTCCCAAATGTGAAACTTCAGTTATTGCGTGTCCATTAAGAAATCCTGGCATCAAATAAAATTGAGCTGAAATTACCAGTCTTTTTATCTGGAGATACAAACATTTTTTTAAAAAACCCTGTGCAAAACTTTATTTCAGAAAAATGTGAACAGAAATCATTGAACACCAATGACTGGCTGCCACTTCTACAAAAGAGATACTTCTGCTGTGTGCTCAATCCATTCACCAGAATTATTTTATTCCTTTCATTATTTTAAAGGGCATATTTTCTTATTTAAAGGTCTTGTTATTATCACATCCATATTGTATCTTCATATAAATGTCTGGAAATCCTTCTGGATTTGCTAGAAGTTTAAATTAAAAATGGGAGTTGAAAATAGAGTCCATTTGTTATGATCTGTAATCACTTCTAACACTTGTCTGCGATTCAACGACACATCCTAGTGCAAACAGAAACTTTAAACACGGACTATCATGTTTTATTTGGCATGCTTTATGCAATATAAATTAACATAGACCTTTCCATTTAAGTGCAATGGTAAGGGTGGTATTTTTGATCAATAAGTTGTCGGAAGTGCGGATCTTACACTTAAGCTCAATTAGTATATTTGCTGAGTATTTGAGAATGATGAGATCCACGCCCAAGTACCATTTATCTCACAAAAAAAGTCAAAAACACTGCAGAAGGGGACCATATGGTCTGAGTACTATGGGAGAGAAAATGTTACTTAACAGATGAATGCAGGAGAAAGGCCATTGTGCAGAGTAAAGTAGGCACAAAATATCTTTAAAATAAATCTAGGCAAAAGAAAATCTCCACAGAAAGAGGATAATTGTCCATTGAATCTCAATATTTTTAATAGATTCCTTATTGCTATCTAAAATCATCAAATCTGTTCTCTCCCCTTATGAAACATGTATATGTAACATATGTATAAACATATCAAGAAATTACATTTGGAATTGGTGCACACATAATTAATGCTGTTTGAATAATTCTGTGACAAAAATCAATATGTGAACCTGCATATCCTGAATTAGCATCTGAATATGCCCAGAACCTTAGAAAACAGGATCTCATTTGGAAAGCATGTAACCTAAGTGGGGAAATCAGATTAGCCACACCTCTGTGAAAACAGAAAAACAATATCAAACCTCTCTTGACATCTGTCTCCCTCTAACTAGGGCACTTGTTCTCACCTTTCACTCACAGCCAATGTCCTGGAATGGGAAATCAACTTTTAGTGCCTCTACTTTCTCGCCTCTCTTGATTCTTCTACCCACTGAAACTAGGCGTCTACGGCTTGGCTGAAAGAACATCTGATGGAGTCACTGGCCATTTTCTCTCTGCCAAGGGACAAGAACATGGTCTCCCTGGTCTCTCTGCTGCATTTGAACCTGCTGTTTCTTCCATTTCCCCAGAACACCCCTTCCCCCAGTCTTGCCCTTGTCCAACTTCTATCCCTCCCCAGAGTTGTAGTGGCTCCTATTTTTCTGCAGTCCTTTAAAATTGATGTTCCATGGGAGTCTGATCCCAATTCCCTTCCATCTCTCTCCATGGTTTCCCTAGCATAGAGCTTCCTTAACTTTTTGCCATGTCATGGCAAATATAGGAAAGGGTGGTATTTTTAAGTTACAGTCGGGTAAAGCAATAGCCTGACTGTATATGGCAGACCCTGGTGTGGGAACTTGAGCTGGTCCTACTGGAGCATCCCGGATCCAGACTTTGAAGGGATGCACACTTTAACACAATTCAATCCACTGGGCAAGAATCTTTGACCCAGATCTTACCTGCTTATGATTTTAGTGAGGATGAATATTTCTCCTGAGTTCCCAATCCATGTATTCACTGCCTGCTTGAATCCTTCACAACGATGTCACCCCAAGACTCCCCTGTGTAAGTGTGAGCTCATTAACCAGTCCTGTGAGCATCTGCCCCCTTCTCTGATTTCTGAACTGGTAAGTAGAACCACTAGTCTACCTAAGGTGGAAACTTAGAGGTCATCTACCCCTCTCCTTAATCCTTCATGGTCATTGTTTACTAGGTCCTGAGTATCTCACCTCTTAAAAATGTCTTAATCCTAAATTAATTTTCCATTCCTATTACTGCTCTAACTCAAGCCTTTATCATGTCTTGCCAAATATTTAAGATCAACCCAGTACCTCCCTGCCTCTAGTTTCGGGCTGCTCTGATCCATCTTTCTCATGTTGTTATCATGAGCTTTTTGGAGCAAAAGCCTCTGGGGCCCTGCCTTGTCCAGCTCCCTCTCCAGTCTCATCCTTTGCATGTCCTTGGTCCCACGACAGGTTCCAGTCCTACCAGCTTTCTTGTTCTTTGCAATGTGTGCATGCGATTTGCACTCATGCCTTTACACACACTCTCTCCTCTGCCTTTCCGGGAGAAACTGCTCTTTCCTGAAGCCCTGCTGAAGCACAGCCTTCACCAAGAAGCCACACTGGGTCCCCAGGCTCTGCATTTCTATCGCAGGCTCCCCGTTTTCTATCGCTCCCTCTAACCCCCCAGCACAGAAGCTGCTCAAGCTCTTATGCTACATCACATTCACCTTCCACACCTGTCTTTCCTCTCATGGGTGCTCCTCAATGGCAGAGATGTCTTTGTCTTGCCACGGCCAGTTCGGTGCACTGCAGATCATCTGTAAACGTTTTTGAAGGAATACATATACAATCTTGTGAACCAGGGGGACTTAAATGCCAAATGAGTTTTGTGCAGACTGTCTTCTCTGATTAGAATGCCCCTCAACTCTTGAAGCTCCTCCTCCATGTCCCTCCACACATGGCTTCATCCCTGGGAAATATCCTACTCATCCTTTGAGGACCAACCTCAGTGCCTTCCTGTCTAAAGATCCCTCACTCTCCCAGACTGGGCCAGCCTCTTCATTTCCTGTGCCCAGTGATGCTTTGTCTGTATCTCAACTATGTCACCATCTGTTTACAATCCCTCTACCCAGCCAGACTCATGTTCCCAAAAACGAGGGGCATGCTTACCTATCTTTGTGCCCATAGTGTCTACACAGGGTCTGGGCATAGGAGATGCTAAATAGATGACTGTTGTAAAAACAGATGTATTAATACCTGGAGTACTAGTCTTGCTATCCCCACTCTGGAATAATTGTAAAATCAGTTTAAGAGTCCCCATAATGGGAGGGCACAGCAAGGAGGCTTTCCAAAGGAAAGGGCAAGAGGACCCGAAGTCTTCACTGACTCATACCCTGCTTCCCACATCCTGTGACATTTCAAATCGCATCAGCATCCCAAACAGAATTGTAAGTGACTAAACACTGGTATATCACATCTTTTATGTGCCTCCTGAGTTAAATGATTTACCCACCAAGTTGAGTTACCTAAAAGAGATTTGAGTCTTCCCAAACACAGCCTGAACTATGGCGTGGGACAAATTGCTTCAGCCAAGGCTCGACTTGGGGGGTTAAAGAGATTTTCCTCTGAGCCTGTACACAGATCTATCTGTACAGAAGGAGAAGCAATGCAAAAACATCGCCTCACAGAGGGATCTCACAGCTGAGCCAGCTGGCTCTGCTCAGCCCGAGTCTGTCTGTGACTCTTCTCCCAGCAGGTGCTGAGTCGCTAAAGCTTATTAGCATCCTGGGCTGACTGGGCCAGTGAACATTTCCTCAGTGCTCACTATGTACCCACGACCGTTCTAAGACCTTTACTCATATTGCCTTATCATAATCCTCACAACTGTGAAATAGATGCTATTACAATATTATCCCCAGTTTATCCCAGAAGAAGTAAGACACAGAGGGTTCATCAATTAACTCAAGGTCCCATACATAGAGAGGCTGTAGGTGGGATTCAAACCCAGTGGGCTAGACTCTGTAAAACCCACAGACCCCAATTCAAATCAAGACTGGAATTCATTCCTTTTTCAAAAAGAGAAAGAAGGTGAAAATGTTTTAATTTAACATTTAAATTTATACTTGACACATAATAATTGTGCATATTTATGAGATGTGATGTTTCAATGCATGTATACATAGCATGAATGATCAAATCAGGGCAACTACCGTACCCACCACTTTAAACACTTATTTTTTTGTGGTGACAACATTCAAAGTCTTCTCTTTCAGCTGTCTTAAAATACACAATACATTGTTATTTGCTATAGTCACCCTACTGTGTATATCCTCCTATTTAACTGTAACTGTACCGATTGACCAACCTCTCCCAGTCCTCCCCATTGACAATCCTCATCTCATCCATGCTCCTCAGCCTCTGGTAACCACCATTCCACTCTCTGCTAATATGAAATCAACTTTTTAAGACTCTATATATGAGTGAGATCATGTTGATACTTGTCTTCTGTGCCTGGTTTATTTCACTTAATATAATGTCCTCCGAGTTTGCCCATCTTGCTGCAAATGGCAGGATTTCATTCTGTTTTATGGCTCAATAGTATTCCATTGTGTGTGTGTGTGTGTGTGTGTGTGTGTGTGTGTGTGTGTGTGTGTGTGTGTAGATAGCACATTTTCTTTATCCATTCATCTGTAGATGGGCCATTATGGAAAACAGTATGGAGGTTCCTTTAAAAATTAAAAATATAACTACCATAGGATCCAGCATTCCCCTTCTGGGTATATACCAAAGAAATGAAACCAATATGTGAAATAAATATCTGTACCCCATGTTTACTGCAGTGGCAACCATAATAGCTGAGATATGGAGTCAACCTAAATGCCCAGCTACAGATGAAAAAAAATGTTGCCCCTTCATACTAATCCACCCACCCAAACCCCTAAGGAAAGTAAAATCCAATCTCCATTCTAAAGGTCTCTCTTCGCAGGATCTGTTACACCACAGGGATTTGATGGTGATAACTGTTTCTTCCAGGATCTGTTCTTAAAAAGGATTTGGGCCGGGCGCGGTGGCTCACGCCTGTAATCCCAGCACTTTGGGAGGCCGAGGAGGGCGGATCACGAGGTCAGGAGATTGAGAGCATCCTGTCTAACACGGTGAAACCCCGTCTCTACTAAAAATACAAAAAATTAGCCGGGCATGGTGGCGGGTGCCAGTAGTCCCAGCTTCTCCGGAGGCTGAGGCAGGAGAATGGTGTGAACCCCGGAGGCGGAGCTTGCAGTGAGCCGAGATCGCGCCACTGCACTCCAGCCTGGGCAATGGAGCAAGACTCCATCTCAAAAAAAAAAAAAAAAAAAAAAAGGATTTGATAGTGTTCTAAGAGATTGTCCCCATAGAGAGAGATGTTATTGTACCTAGTCATATCAAACTTGTCAAAATCAGGTAATTCTAATTCCCAGTTGACAAACCTAATTATCCTAATGCGCCAGGTCTCACTTTCTACATCAAAGAAAAACGCCAAGCCCATTATGCAATAATATTTAAGCCAAGTACCACTAAAAATTTCTGCTTGATTCACTTGTTCAGGTAGAATATGCTACAGTAACTTAAACAAGATTTATCAATGTCTTTTAAGTTTGGCTTGTCATTTTTCCTGGAATTCTCCATCCTGTGGATATTTTCTTCATCAATGATCTTCCACCCTGAATCATTTTCCTCTGTATGTCAGAATGCCCGAAAATGTCCTGGAGAGCTTTAAAACACACCAAGAGGGCAAACAGTCTCATGTATTACCCTACACCATCTTTGTGCATAAATGTAAAACCCTAATCTGGTTTCTTGGTGTATGAACAGGTAGTCCTTTATGGTCATCATCAAGTCACATTTTTAAAAAACGAAAGTGTAAAGGAGATTTCTCATGTCTCCTTGCAGCAAGTCAGGTGCTCACCTGGAACCCCCATTTCATCTACACCTGCATTTACTCTAAGTTAGCAACTATTTGGAAAGCAAATGAATGAAGGAAACCTTTTTCTCCATTGCTTAAAAAACACATGTGTCTTGCAGAAACTGAAATATGATTTATAGAGGCTTCCTTTGGAAGGCCTACATATAATGACTTTCTTAAAGTTCTGATCTAGTCAAGTAATGGTGCTGAGGAGAGCAAGGCTGGGGGAATTCTGAACAGTTGTTGACTTCTTGCTTCCAGATGCACCTTGCCAGCTGGCAAGCCTTCTGTGGGGGCACTTCAAATGACTCACCATTTATTTGATTGAAACTGGATTGCAAACAGAGTTAATGTATTACAGTGGCATTAGCTGGGAAATGTGGAAATGCTGCGTAATATGTTGGGACGCTGACCCACCTGACGTATTATTGAATGGACTGCAAAAGGCAATCCATTTTCATCTTCATACATGACCAAAATACAATGTGAGGGGACAAAATATCTCCTATGAAAAATTGTTTGAATATGCCTATATCATATAGATTTATATGTATTCTAAAGATGGAAGCCTATTTTCAATAGACATGCTTACAGTCTTTCACCTTAGCCATAGTGATTTTTCCATATTAAAATAGCAGTAAAGCAATAATAAAGTTACCTATCAACACGCTTCTAGATCCTTTGAAATAAACATTTGAACATTAAGTTGCCACATTAAATTGGTTGAGCAAAACCATTCTGATACTTTTCTTTCAATATTTTTAGCAGCAAATAAAACATGCCTAAACTATTTGTATGTGTACTTAGATAGTGCTGACAGTATGTCTATTAAATATCATACTCGACTCTGTGAACTGAGCACTGGTGTGCTGGTAAATGTTTAATAACCAACCCTCTAATTTATAGTTGTTTTTGCTGACTTCCATGGTGTATGTGTTGCCTCCATGACTGATTTCAAGCTACCAATATGACGTCACTAATCTTGAAATTGGGAAGAGATATGCACAGTCAGCTCTCATGAACCTAGAGAGTCAGCCCAACATACCCCTGGAACTAAGTTACTATGAAATTTCTAGATTCCGGGGGTTTTTCCTTTTCACTTTGTTTTTCTCTTCTTATGGACCTCAGAGTTCTGTAGGACACAATTTCCTCACCTGCAAGATGTGTTCACTGGAATAGGTAATCTCTCAGCTTTCTTTCTGCTCAATTCTTTAAATATCTTAATAATTTTCCTTCTATGAATTAATTGTAAGGCAACCTGAGCATGACAACAGACTGAAAGAAAAATTCCGTTTAATCCAAGTTTATATTCTCAGGACATGGAGTTGAAGGACAGCCTCTGAGGTGGAGCACATCATTTCCATTTCAGTAAGGTTTATTTTTAAAAGTTCAGGTATCGTTTTCAGAAATATATAAAATGGGAGGCACCCATGATTTTTGTCACAGTGATGATAGTTCCTAGGGTCCAGGTCAAAAAGAAAAAAATTTCCGAGTCAATGAGGAGAAACACACTATGGTCAGGCTGTACCTGCTTCATTTCAACTTCTGCATTTTCAAAACTGGCAAAATCAAAGGCATCCTTATTTTTAAAGTGCAGGGGAAGTAACATCTAGTGTTCTTTGCAAGAATTGCATGTTAAATTTTTCTTCATGTCTAGGAAGTCACTTGGGAGGAGGCCATGAGTTGAATATTGATGAGGAAAAGCTAATGGTATGTATCATTGCAAGTGATATTGCAACCATAATATAACATGAGTAAAAATCAAAATAACCCTTTCTTTCCATATGACCTAAACACAAACCCTATAGAGAACATCAGGTCTCTAGATTATTCCAGGGGCTGAAGGAGTGGAAACAGAAATGCTAAGAGGCCTGACGGGCTTGTAGGCAGCTCTGAGGGGACAGGTTTGTCTCCTTGCTCTAGAGCTTCTGCATACAGAAATTGCCAGAATAAATCAAGGACCAGATATATGAAGATGTTTGTAGATATTACTAGATAATGAAAAAGAAATCCAATAAGTTTGGTCTAAAGATGGACTCATGGGGAAGTGGTCAATACCCTCATGCATTCCTTCATTCAACAAATAACCTTTGAGCATCTATTACAGGCCATGCCCTCTGCTAGCCACTGAGGATTTACAGGTGAATTAGGCAGATGTTGTCCCTTGCCTCGGAAAGGAAATCTCTCTCATGGATGTTGATATTTCTACTGATAGATTTAGTTGTTGATGAAATTGTTAACTTGTATTGCGTACATAGCAAGCTTCTGATGAATGTTTGTTAGATTAATATTTCATGCAATAAGTCAAAATAAAAGATAGCAAGTCATCTTTCCTTAACATGGTGATACCACATCAAGGTTTTATGTTGATAAACAAAACTGAGCCTTCTTCTTGCCTGAGTTGTTTGAAAGGTGCTTATAAAGCATTGACTACGCCAGGTACTTCACTTCCTATCCCCCTTTAACCAAATTCTAATAACTCTGAAATATGAGTATTTCCATTGCATAAATAAGCCAGCTACCATTCAGAAAGATAATAAACTTGGTCTACAATTGCCCAACAGTGTCAGAATTCAAACCCACGTCTGTGCCTCCAATCCACACTTTTCTTCTTCTGCTACTGCAATGCTTCCCAGCACCACCAAGAGCACTCAGACCATCATTTCATCTTTACCTGACCAGAGCAGCTCCCATATGTATCCATGACCTCTAGACATTTTCTCCTTCTATGCATGATGATAGATTGCAAATCGGTGGGAGCCCCACTTCCCAAGGAAGGCTAGAGCTCTACCTTTTACTTTGAACACCACTATTTTCATCTGCTCCTGACTGTACAGCCTCTAAATCTTCACCACCATAAGGAATTTTATCCATATCCTAGGCAGGGCCAGGAAAGTAATGAAAGAAGTTATGAGAACCTAAGCCTTGAAACCGTGTTCTCCCACTCAGGGGAGAAAAATAATTGAACCTCAGCAAGAGGTTTACAGAAATGAAGGACTTCAGGGAAAAAATAATAATGTTTTTATGAACCCACATAAATAACATCATTATTTTCTCTTAAGTCACCAAGAAAAACCACAAGATAAATGAAACTAGCTATAATTTTGAAAAGATACTAGACTGTGCTCAAGATTCATTGTGACTATTGGGTTCTATTTGAGCTTTTCAGAGGTTGACAGAGAATAAAGACCTGTGGCAACCAGCAACTAGAAAGAAAATTGCACTAGCCTTAATACACAGTAATAGTAGCTTTAATACACATTTGCTCCACAATACTTTGTGTGCAGCAAATGCATTAAAAACTTGAATCAATGCACTAGTATTCATAGCAAGATTCTCATTTCCTTCTAGTTCTGAATGATGAGTCTTGGCAGCAGAAAAGTTTTCATTTGTACATTAACATCTACTTCTCTACTTGGTCCCCTTCTGTGCCTTTTCATTACAACATGTGATTTCTTCTCCAAATTAGTGTCACCATTTCAACTCTGTGTGGAACAACAAATTTGGTATGAATACCTTCTGCTTTGAGCTTTGGTATAAGGTTAAAAGAAATCACATATTTCTCAGTTGGGCTTTTTTTCCAAACAATATATTTTTATTAATTATTAATTAATAATATGTTTTATTAATCACTATTCTTATTTTCCTTCTGCCCCTTGCCACCAAAGGTCTTAGTTAACAAAGTACTGTGACGGTTAAATTTAAACTAAATAACCAGTTGATTTTTTAATGAATCATGCATAATTTTGTGCAAATAAATTGGTGAGATATTGACATTACATTCATATTTGTGTATAAAGGGGCTGTTTACAGCTTTTACTTAGGATGAAACATCTATAATAAATGAATCTGGCAACACAGCAATAGGAGAGAACTAAAGTTATGCCTGATTGAGTAATTATGCCAGCCTTGTCTGTGTTGGCTAAATTCAGTCATTGTTTCTTTCCCACCTCAATATTTTCACTTCACTGTCTTTGATAAGCAGAACCATGGAGGAGACAGAACACAGATCCCAGTAGCTATAACTCTGCTGAATTGTTCGTATAATTGGGTTTATGAAAGGACTCCATAGATGATATATTTCTTTATGAGGTAGCTTTACAACAGAAATTGTTCATACAGATCATATTATATGAGCCGTAACCCAGAGGCCAATGAAGTGAGTTTAAGGCTGATTTGAGCTTACTTTGTGTTGACCTGGTATTATTTTTGTGGATGGTTTTACTTGGTCTTAGACTTAATACATGTTGTCATTTATTTGGCTGCTGTTTTGTTGTTGTTGTTGTTGTTGTTGTTGTTGTTGTTGTTGTTTTTGAGACGGAGTTTCACCTTGTTGCCCAGGCTGGAGTGCAATGGCACGATCTTAGCTTACTGCAACCTCTGCCTCCCAGGTTCAAGTGATTCTCCTGCCTCAGGCTCCCAAGTAGCTGGGATTACAGGCATGCGCCACCACGTCCAGCTAATTTTGTATTTTTAGTAGAGACGGGGTTTCTCCACGTTGGTCAGGCTGGTCTCGAACTCCTAACCTCAGGTGATCCACCCACCTCAGTCTTCCAAAGTGCTGGGATTCCAGGCGTGAGTCATCGCACCCAGCCTGACTGCTGTTCTATGAAACAAGTCGTGACGTGGTTTGACTCAGATTTTGGCAGTCAAGAGAAACAAGGGCAAATCTTTTATTCCTAGAAATTTAAATGTTCTTAAGATACCTGAAAGGACCTGACCTATATAGATGCAAACATATATATCAACTTTTAAAAACAAGAATTTTCTAATCCACTAGACAGCAAACCAAGTGTCATTTACAGTAATTGTTGTCAAGGCTGCCTGGTTGCTTCATGGCACAGGGAGGAGTTCTGAGGTGAGGGTAGAGTGGTATTTGGGGTGTAGGGACCATCTTTGGCTAAGATTTCAGAAACCACACTAATGATTTATTCCTTCATATTTAAAATGAACTTCTTACGTGATAGGTTAAAAGAAAACTACCTCAGGCATTTTACAGCTTGAAAAAAGATTTAGCTATTGTGAAATTTTTCACAATTGTAATAATGTATCAAGCATCTAACTTGCTCAAAGCCTATTAAACAAGCGTTATTTATGTCAAATGCAGTAAAATACAGCCATGAAAATCATGTGGAATCACAAATCACGGATAACAGAGAAGCAGTGACTAACCAAAATTTGGTGTGGTCTGCATTATCCGTCACAGCTCCAGCCCCAGACAATTGGCTGAAACATGTTGCTTTTTTTAATTAATAAAATTCATAGTTTAGGAGGGTATTCTAAACTGTAAAACTCAAAGACCAAATAAATAAATACATAAATAAATACGTAAAAACCCAGTCAGTCATAAATTTGCTTCTGCCTTTTCTATTCCAATTGAATAACTTTAACCTGGAGAAACTGTTTCTAGAACTAAGTCTCCTTACACCCGGAAGGCATTTATAGGTCCCGCACCAAAACTGTTGGGAGAAATCACTTTTGTTATTGAAAGAGTTGCTTCTTCGCTGATTACAGCCAGGGTCATGAGCAGCTAGAGCAAGGATGTTGCTGGAAGGCAGCGTGGCGCGAGGTCTGGAAGAAATGCAGGGCAGCTGGCTTCACAGCTGTGCGAACTGTGTCATTCTATGGTTTGAGTGGGAGGGAGTGAACAGCCCTAGACTTCCGCAGATCCACAGGGGATCTTTAAGTCTCCCCACTTCAGAAAGGAAGGTTTGCCTTGAACCTTGGGTTGTGTTTTTGTAATGTCAAAACAAATAATTAGGGCATTCAGTTGGGGAAACAGGGAGAGGGTGAAGAAAAAGGGAGAGGTGATTGAAAAAGAAGGATGCTCCCTGGTTACTTGGCTGAGTGTCTGCCTTGGGCTAAGTTGGACTAGCAGCCTACGTGGCAAATCACATGGTCCTAGTAGGAAGTACAGTTGCTTCTACAGTTGCTTCATGCCAAGTGCCTTTTTGATGACTGTTATCAAGTAAAAAGATGAAGTGAGGTCAAGACCACACTAAGAAGTTAAAAATGTCTGTGACTCAAAAACACTTGTAAAATTCAAGCACTTTTTCTCTTACTAATGGAACATAATATCCTGAGACCACATTTCATATAATGATGAGAGTTGACAGTGGAAGCATGGAAATGGCTTAAATGTAAAAATTGTTAAATGCTGGAGTCAGTGTTTCTGGGCTATTAGGCTGTATTGAGTTTTTGGCCATGGCAAAGGCAACACTTTAGGGGAAATCAGTCTATGTTTCACATTTTTATTTTAGTGCCTTAGTTTTGCCACAGCTAGACATCTAAAGCTGTCCCATTCACCCAGACCACATCTGTTTCTTGCCTTTGTATGGCACTTGGCTGTTGGCAAAGCATTTTCACATTTGGTTTTCAAAGTAGCAATGAAAATTAGGCAGAAAGTGTTATCCACACGTTACAAGTTTCAGAGGTTCAGAGAGATGATTCAGCTCACAAGCAGCAGACTTGGGTTTTGGAACCAGCAGGTCTCCAAATCCATTCACAGAACGCTTGTGTCCATTATTCAGACAAGAGAAGATGCTCCACTGGTCTTCAGAAAGCTACGATTCTGTTGTTTGTTTGTTTGTTTTGAGATGGAGTTTCACTCTTTTTGCCCATGCTGGAGTGCAATAGCACGATCTCAGCTCACTTCATCTTGCGCCTCCCGGATTCAAGTGATTCTCCTGCCTCAGCCTCCCGAGTAGTTGGGATTACAGGTGTGCACCCTCACGCCCAGCTAATTTTTGTATTTTTAGTAGAGATGGGGTTTCATCATGTTGGGCAGGCTGGTCTCGAACTGCTGACCTCAGGTGATCCACCCACCTCCACCTCCCAAAGTGCTGGGATTATAGGCGTGAGCCACCGCACCTGGCCTCTGTGGTTTTTGATGTGATCTTCTGACCAACATGTACGGCCTCCCAAACTGGAAGGTTGTGTTCTATTTCTCCTCCCCTTTTTCTTTGCCTCCCTCTTTTCTTCTCCCTGTATCTCTTTCTCTGCTCTTCTTCTGTTTCCCTCCCCACACAACACTTCCTCTAAGTTCAGAGGACTATTGGAATTTCCAGTAGGTCTTTCTCATTTCCACGTGGCCATTTGTAAGAGGTATTTCAAGGTTGATTCATTCAACTTTACTCAGAGGATGACCTATTCTTAATGTAAATTTTCCTAACTTTCTAAGTCTGGGGGTGACTTCCTTTCTCATTTGGGGCTACTCATATTCATTGTGTTGTCTAAGTAAGAAGGATTGAATAGGGGTAAAATATAACGGCAGGAAAATTTTCTCCTGTGAGTGTTTCTGAATTTGTAACTCATTTGGTCTGCTCCAAAGAGTAAGATGTGGTCATCAGAAACGAATCATTTTTTAAATTTTTGGTAGAATCCTGGAGGAATAGAACAAGCATGAAGCAGAAGGAGAAACATAATGGACCTCATTCTCCACTTCGTGCTAACAAACACTCACTATGTGTCAGGCATTATTCTAAGTGCTTTACACTTATTTAATTATTTGCTCTTTAGAACAACTCTGTAAGATAATTACTATCACTAGTCCTATTTTACAAGTGAGAGAATTGAGGAAGGGAGAAGTTAAATGCCTTGCTCAAAGTCATACAGCCAGTAAGTGGCAGAGTGAGGATCAGAACCCAGGAAGTCTGGCTCTAGGGTATATCCTCATAACCACTGTGCTACCTCAGAAAAGAATGGTCTTTGTCACTGCTCCTCTTTCCCTCTTTGCAGGGCCCATGATGACTTCCATGGTCCTAGGTCCTTTTGCCTTTGTGGGCCCCTTTCACTACATAAAGTATCAAAAACTATATTTTATGACTGTGTGGGTAAAAAGACAAATATAATCCATGGGTTGGATTACATTCATTTTTTTCCTTCTGACTGTAAAAGAAATTAAAACATTTTTCTTGGCCCCTAAACTTATCATCAGTGTGGCCCCATGCCCACTGAGCCCAAGGGCTAGGTCGGTACTTACTCTTTGGGATTTTTCTTTTTCACCTTGACTCATGTCTAGACAAGAGAATAAATTTACCACACTCTCAGCCATTTAGTACCAAAGTAGGATTTTTTTTTTTTTTGCAAATGCCTTTTCTGAGTTTAGGATTAGCCCCGAGAAATCCACCAATTAAGTAAATGTTTTTCAAATTGTAGGTTGTAAAGTCATTTAGGTAGGTCATAATTCGCATTTTTGTAACAAAAATATATTAGAGTGGAGTGGAGTGGCAAGGGATGGGATAGGATAACATAGAAAACATCAGGGTAATTTGCACCTTAAGTGTATTTTGGAGAATATTTTATTTCAATTATAATAAATATGTATGTGTGTTATGTGGGGTGCCATAAAGTGCATTTCTCACAGTGAGTTCCAGCCATTCTTTTTTTTTTTTTTTTTTTTTTTGAGGTGGAGTCTTGCTTCTTCACCCAGCTGGAGTGCAATGGCATGATCTTGGCTCACCGCAACCTCTGCCTCCCAGGTTCAAGCGATTCTCCTGCCTCAGCCTCCCCAGTAGCTGAGATTACAGGCATGTGCCACCATGCCTGGCTAATTTTTTGAATTTTCAGTAGAGACAGGGTTTCACCATGTTGGCTAGGCTGGTCTCGAACTCCTGACCTCAAGTGATCCACCCGCCTCAGCCTCCCAAAACGCAAGGATCACAGGCGTGAGCCACTGTGCCTGGCCCCAATTTTCTTTTTTTAATACTAGGGTAGGATACATTCCTAGTTCCATCTCTTCTTTCCTTTAGCAATGTCCAGCTTTAAATGTGACCCCATAGAAAAGCTAGTAATGTAAGCTTGCTGTCTTGTGGTAAATCATGTCTATTAAGTATACAGGTTTTGAAGTCATATGAAACAGAATCCAAATTCCAGTTCTTTCTCTTATTAGCTGTAGTACCTTCACTATGTCATGTAACTTCTCTGTGATTTATTTCCACGTGGATAAAATTAGGATAATAATAATGATGTCAATCTGATGGGGTCATTGTGAGAATAAATAAGAAAATGCTTATAATGTCAAATATTTATCTCTGGGCCCTTTTTTTTTTTTTTTTTTTTAGAAAGAGAGTCTCGCTCTTTCACCCAGGCTGGAGGGCAATGGCGTGGTCTCTGCTCACTGGGTCTCTGCTCACATGGTCTCTGCTCACCTCCGCCTCCTGGGTTCAAGCAATTCTCCTGCCTCAGCCTCCCGAGTAGCTGTGACTACAGGTGTGTGCCCCCACACCGGCTAACTTTTGGATTTTTAGTAGAGACTGAGTTTCACCATGTTGGTCAGGCTGGTCTCGAATTCCTGACCTTGTAATCTGCCTGCCTCAGCCTCCCAAAGTGCTTGGATTACAGGTGTGAGCCACTGCCCCCAGCCCAGACCTCATTTTTAACCTGTGACTTGCATAACTGCTTTTTCATTTTTTTTGAGACAGAGTTTCACTTTGTCTCCCAGGCTGGAGTGCAGTGGCTTGACCTCGGCTCACTGTAACCTCCGCCTCTCGGGTTCAAGCAATTATCCTGCCTCAGCCTCCAGAGGAGCTGGGACTGCAGGTACACACCACCACGTCAGACTGATTTTTTGTATTTTAGTAGAGACGGGGTTTCACCGTGTTGGCCAGGCTCGTCTCGAACTCCTGACCTCAGGTGATCCGCCCACCTTGGCCTCCTAAGGTGCTAGAATTAGAGGTGTAAGCCACCACACCTGGCCATAACTGCTTTTTAAATGTAGCCACTTGGATGTCTGATAGAGGTCTTACACTTGACATGTCTTTCTCTGAGCTCCTGACCAATCCTCCGTGCCCCCAAATGATCGTTCTATCCCTCCTACTGCTCAGGTGAAACCTATGAATTACTGCTTGCTCTTCTCCTCTCACAACCTACATTCAATCCATCATGAACGCATACTGGCTGTATCTTCAAATACACAAGGACCTTTACCACTTTCCACTGTTTCTGCTGTACCACGCTGATGAGCCACCACCGTTCATAGCCTCCAAACTGGCTTCTCTGCTTCTTCGGTGCCCCTCTCTAGTCTGTTCTGAACTCAACAGCCCCAGTGATCCTTTAAAAAATCTGTCAGACGGTGTTACTCCTATGCGCAAATCCCTGCAGTGCTCCACACTTCACTGAGAGTAAAGTCAAAGTCTTTGCAAGGTCCACCAAATCTTTTCTAGTCCCCATTCCTTCTCAATCCCCCTCTTCGTCTCCCTTCCTTACTCCTCCCCAGCCACACCGGTCTCCTTGCCATGCCAGGAACACTCTAGTTTAGGTCCTTTTCACTTGCTTGTCCTCAGCTCTCTCTCACTCTGCTCCCCACCCCATATGGGCATTGTTCATTCTTTTACCCGCACTGAAGAACTGTGTTCAAAGCCCTTCTCCTCCATGTTGTCTATCTTGAAATCCTCTCCTCTTCCTGCTCCCATATGCCGTACCCTCTTAGTCTGCCTTATTCATTTTTGTCTTAACACATTGACTTATAACATACAATACAATTTACTGATATATCTAACGTTTCTTGCTCATAATCCACTTTTGGTAGTAAAAATTCATGAAAGTAAGATGCTATTTGTTTTGATCACTGATGTATCTCAAGTGCCTAAAAAACGGTCTAAAAAAGGGCCCAGGTGGAATAAGAGAGAAACTCACGAATAATACAGGTTTTTCTGTACCTCTGATTAAACCATGATTTAATATTCGACCACCTAGTGTTTGGTTGATAGAGATCTGGCAATAATGGCCTTTCCATGTCTACAAATGGCAAATGAACATATTGATAAAGTTCAGAATTATCTCAAAACCAAGATGTATATTAAAGTCTCATCTACAGTTACAGCCCAAGTATTTGCTATCAAAGATTCTGCTGCTGAATTGCTAGTTTAATGTATACAAATGTGGCAACAAGGATCAATAGAAAGCCTACAGGCTTTTACACCGCACTTACATTCACAAATGTTAAACAACTACTAGTGTGATATTATTCCTGTTGTCCTTCAGTAACTGTGTAGAAAGTCATGCTAATCTGTCATCATTCAACAAGGCCATAAAATTGATTTTGTCTTTTATTTAACTACCCTTCATTATATAGAAGACTTGTAAATTAAAGCAATTAAAATGTCAATACTGCCCACTCCCCCACCCCGAAATCACATCCACTTTAGCACCTACCAAAGTGGGTAAGGAAAGTGAGAAACAAAATATGAAACACTAGAGTTTCTCTTGTACCATACAATGAAGAAAATGTTATATCAACTGTTCTTTCAGGCCCTTACAAGACATTGGCTGTAATGTATGTCCCCTTTTTCACCCCATAAACTCAAGGAGAAAAAAAGCTCTACAAATTGTCTTCTGTTCCCACCTGAATTTTAATTCTTGTACACTAAATAATGATCATGAATTCAAGTTGCATATGTCAAAAAGCGACTCCATAAATAACTTTACATTTTTTTTGCTTTAGTGTTAGAATCTACGTATGAAAATGTATTAATGTGCCTCTGCCGCATTTATTATGACTGGTAGGTGATGAACCTGTCAGTTTATATGCACGTGAAGAAAAAGGGAAAGAAGTTTCTTTGTATTTCATGGCTAGGTCAGTGCTTAGAGGTTAGGATCCTTCTTTCTGTGAATTCCAAAGAGATATTTTGTTTTGTAGGATTCTGCCATTTAGCTGGTCTGCCCACATGTTTACCTTCCCTGGTAATCTAAAAGGGTAAAGGGGAAATATAGATCTTACATACCCGTTTAATTTTAATTATAAAGGAGAACAGGTTAAAAGACTTGAAATGCCAATTAGGAGCCGAATTAGTATTTAGTTTCCTCACTCTCCATTTATTGCTAAAATTTCTTTAATATCTTACTCTATTATACAACAAATATCTAGAGATCATCAATTTGAATAATCCCTGAATATTCAAATTAAAAATATAACTAATATTTTGTATATAAATGTGCCTATATAATAGAGATTCATTCTTCTTTTAACTCAAAAATTTCCATAACTTTGCTGTGATCAAATATTTTCATTCTTATTGTAATGAAGCTATTTTATATGTTTTATACAACAAATAAGACTATCTATAAAATCAGGTGTAGTATGTATCCAGTAATACAGCTGGAGTTAGAAGTGTCAGTTATTTTTAGATTGAATGGGACTTCAGAGACTTTAAATCTAAAACCCTCATCTTAGAGCTGAGTGAATCAAACCCCAAAAGGTTAAATGGCTTGCCCATGGTCTTAGGAAATTGATGCATTAGAATCAAATTCTTCTGACTCTTGCCTCAGATATTTCCTATAAAACACGCCTCTGTGGGATTTTATAGAATTAAATTATATAGACATATATAGACAAACCAAAAAAGTAATTTACCATGTAGCCATAAGGTAATTGTAAATACCATACTTACATGTTTAAAAATAATAATGATGCTCAGACCAAAGAGTCTAAGAAAATCTAATTACCCAACATAGATTCTGTGTTCAAGTTGTTTCACAAATATTTATGGGAAAGTGCTTCCCATTTACTCATAGTGTTAATTACAGCCACCCCTTGGTAACCATGAGATTGGTTCCAAGATCCCCTGCGAATAACAAAATGCGTGGATACTCAAATCCTTTACATAAAATAGTGTAGTATTTGCATATAACCTAAGCACATCCTCCTGTATACTTTAAATTATCTCTAGATTACTTATAATACCTAATACAGTGTAAATGCTACGTAAATAGTTGTTATATGATTTAGGAAATAATGAAATAACTCTTTACATGTTCAGTACAGACGCAGCCATTCATTTTTTAAAAATATGTCCCATCCCTGGTTGGTTGAATCCACAGATGTGGAACCCATGAATGCCGAAGGCCGACTGTACTTACTTCCTTGTACCTTTCAAATATTCATTACACTATCTGGGGTGATCTTCACTGGTACCATCTTAATGCATGACATAATGAGATTATCAGGTTAGCTAGCTCTAACTATATATAGCACAGAAGGAGGGAAGGCTTCTACACTAGAGGCTCCTGGTGAGCTGTGAGATCCACCATTTGAATTCTGCCTACCAAATACAGGAAGCAATACTTAAGAGTTTGGGCCACCAAATAAAAGCCAGACCCACATGGTCTGCCTTCAATTTACAATCAGTAACAAAAAATATAGTGAGGAACACACTGGCATTCTTCAGCAAAAGAGTGAAGGAGGATGCCTATCAAAACCTTTAGGTTGGTGAAGCAATCTCAGATCAGGATGGCAATAATATTTACAATTTGCCAGCCCAGGCGCACTGGCTCACACCTGTAATCCCAGCACTTTGGGAGGCCAAGGCAGGTGGATCACGAGGTCAGGAGATCGAGACCATCTTGTCTAATACAGTGAAACCCCATCTCCACTAAAAATACAAAAAAAAAAAAAAAAAATAGCCAGGCGTGGTGGCAGGTGCCTGTAGTCCCAGCTACTCGGGAGGCTGAGGCAGGAGAATGGCATGAACCTGGGAAGCGGAACTTGCAGTGAGCCAAGATGGCACCACTGCACTCCAGCCTGGGTGACAGAGTGAGACTCTGTCTCAAAAAAAAAATATATATATATATATATATATATATATTTACAACTTGCCTAGGGACAGTTCTCATTGCTAAGTGATGATGGCACATTCTGAGCTGCCACTTCTCTATATCATGGGCCTCCATTATTTAGCTAAGCGATAAGGGTGGAAGAGAGGTACCCTGGGACCTAGTTTATAACTTCTTTTTGTAGACCCATCCATCCTTATAGGAAACCATAGCAAGCCAGTTCTGACTGCCATTGTCCTCTGGGCCTGAAAGGGTGAAAGAGACCAGTGAAGGCCAGAAACAGCTATCCTTGGTGGACATCCAGAACCAAAACAGATCTCAGCTTTCCAAAGAGAATAATTATGCTGGTGTTGACCATACTGTTAATTTAAATTCTCCCCCATACAAAGCAATTCTGATATATCAACAGAAGTTAAACCTCCTTATGATTAGAAAAGGACACATTTTTCTCAATAGTGCCTAATAATGGTTTTGTGCCTAAATCATCAGGATGCCTTGCTTTCCTTCTTTTGACACCCCTTTAAGAAATATAAGATGGGCTTAATTTTTCTACTTACTTTCATTCACTTTAGTATGTAATTATAGAGTTTTTCAGTTTCAGCAGCTTCTATGTATCAGGTAATCCTCCATATACTGTCAATCTAAAGATAAATAGAATACACTAGCCCATGGGAATGTACCTGCCAGATGAGCTGCAACTCTTCATTGCACTGACTGCAATGCAGTGAATGAACGACCTCATAAGGCAGGCTGCACTCTTACAAGATAAATGTCAGTGATGGGTTCATTCTAAGTGAGAATACAATTAGAAACACTTGCTACTAATAGTGTGAACAGACTCTTCTGTTCCAGGATGTCCTTTTAACACATTTGAATTCCTTAGGGGAAAAATCCCTTTTTGAATGTTTTAATCTTTGATGTGTCTGGGTAACCTTCGACAGATATATTGACTTAATTTTCTTTTGCACTGATAACATCTTCAATCATCTATCAATGTTTGTGTCTACTAAATGCTGAACAGAAGTTAAAAACCTAGAAAAAGGACTCTTAGAAAAATAAAAGTCATGGTTCAGAAAATTTCTGTTATCTATGCTCTCAATTTTAGCTGAAACTTGAAATTAGCATCTTCATACATTGATGAAAGACCCACATTTTGGTGCTATTCTTTGACTGACTTGCCACTGTAGGTGAAGAAGTATATCCTTCACTCAAGCTGCAGAGTTATTTCTGAAATGATATTATTAAGTACTGTTGGAGATAGGGTGTAGTTGAAAAATCCTTAAGTGTTTAATTAGTATTCAAAATGCCCAGTCCACTTTATTTGGCAACTGGACGATTAGTTTAATGATTTAGTGACAGCCAAGTAAAAGGAATATATGTATATGTATTCCTTGAAGCATTGCTAAACCTCTAAAATATCAAACATGGGTTTATGTATAATTACTGGTGTGGGAAAGCAAATATTAAACATAAATAGTTTAAGCCAATAAAAAATTTCTCTGGAAAGAATAAACAATAAGTAATTGTTTGGGGGCAGGATTGGAAAGAAAGGGCACAGGACTTGCTTAAGTGTTCATAAATTGTGGTTAAGACATAAACAAAATTATCTCTATGCCCAGATTATGTAATTTATTGGGAGTGTGCATGCTTCTCTGTTCAGCAATGCTGATAACAACACTAATAGTTTAATTACAACTTGCTGCTTAAGGAGATAAACAAGGCTGTTTGCTTTTAAAACCAGGGGTTACAATTACTCTTAAATGCGGGAGAAAGGCACATCTGTGAGTGGATCTTACTTCGTTAGGGAAGCAACCAGAAACCAGCTGGAAATAAACAAGCCCCAGGAGTGAGCAGTTGGCGCAAAATTAGAGCATAAACGCCCGATTTGAGCAGCGGAGCAGTAGGCGTGATGCGTAGTAAATAGGCAGCAAATGTAGGTGGAGAGGGATGAAAAAGTTTTTGGTAGCCTGATCTTATGCATTTTCTTCGGGATTCCATCACAGGAGGGAAAGAGTACCCATCCCTCCACTGTCCAACTTACAGTCACTTCTCTGTCTCGCTTCAGCACCACCAAGGGAGGACAGCTCCCCTGACTGCAGTACAGACCAGGCTGCTAATGCCCTTCCTCCTTTAACAATATCCTCTCTGCATTTCTCTCTTACTGGTGTCTTTCTTGACACTTTACATTAGGAATATTTTAAGGGACATATAGAAGGGACTGAGTGCTTGTCTGGCTTATTTATTTCCAGATGAAACATAGATAAGTCCTGTCTGAGCCAATCTTTAAATTGGACTCCAGAGCAATTTAACCAAAATAAAAGATTGCAAGTCACTAGGTTTAATCTGGTGACAAAGTAATTAATTGAGTAGCAGCTGAAACTTGAAACTCTTGTTTAGCACTTTATTTTATTGTTTTGTGATAAAAGTACTAGTAGAAGGTAAACAACATTTACTAACTGCTGCTTTGGCTCTGTTCCTCCTGGGCTAAGCAAAGGGGTCAATAGACTAATTTCCAATATCACTTGGTTGGGAAAACAATCTTGCTCCTAAAAGAAACTATTATCGGTCCTTTGTGAGACCCCTCACAACCATACGCTGAATCTGAAACATAGAAGTAGGGGATTAACAATTCCAAAGTGGGAACCATGGACTACTACAGCATGCCATAGAAAATGCCAAAGCTTTCTAAATAAACTTGTCTTCAGCTCCAAAGTCAGAGGCAAACATTTAAGAAGTGACAAGATATACATGATTAAAACCACAAATCATCAAGACAGGAAAATTATATTCCAAGGCAGTTGGCCACTCTGGCACATTCAGTTACCATTCTTCCAGCCATAAGGGTATGGTTGCTTAGTCAGTGCATCTTGTTTTTCTATGCAGTTTTCTCTTTTGTCGAAACTTCTCAACAGGGCATAAATACCCATCATCTGAAGGTTCTCTTTGCTCTAACACATGCACCATGCACGCGCACGCACGCGCACACACACACACACACATTTTGTTTGATTTAGTCCCATTTCCAAGAGTTTAGTTTCCTAAAGCAAAACCTACCATCTGCTTTATAACTTATTTTGAAAGGCAGTCTTCAGGAAAATGCCCTCACTTTTATTATAGTTGCTAGAATAATAAGGGACCTTGGACAGGAAGAGAAAACAAACTAGGATGGAAGCTTAGGAGTCATTCAGAAAAGGCAGAGCTATGAAGTTAGTGGTGAACAACTTCTTCCCAGTGATAGTGACCACACACGAGTAAGGCACTCTAGAGTCGAGTTAGGAGCAGCAGCAGCAGAGGGAACAGTAGATGCTGGACTTTACTCATTGAGTAACCTTCAGTGGACTCAACTGAGGCATTTTTTGACTCTGAATCCCTCAGTCCTCCTTCTGTTGCTTTCCTTCCCCCTCCCTCCTCCCTTCCTTCCCCCCTTCCTTCCTTCCCTCCTTCTTTCCTTCCTTCCTTCCCTCCTTCCTTCTTTTCTTCCCTAGCGCCCCACTGCCTTCCCTCGTTTCCTTCCTTTCCTCCCTATCTTCCCTTCTCATTTCTTCTCTCCTTCATGTACCTCAGTTACCCTTTTCACTTAATTCGATCTGGGCCACTTTGGGCACCAGTTCCAGGGACAGCATCAAGTCACCTAACGTGCATTCTCCAGACCATGCTATTATGACCAGCACGGTAGCTTCCCAGCTGCTTGGTGCAAGGAAAAGGTTCCGTTCCAGGCGGCCAGCCCCGCCCCCTCTCCCCACTCCAACACCGCAGCGGCGGCGTCAACCCGTCAAAGCCAACAGAGTCTGAATGTCACCAACAAGTTCCACCCCGTAGTAGCCGCGCCAGCCAACCTCGCCCGGGGAGCCTCGCCAGACCCCGCGCCCGCAGCCTGCGCATGGGCGCGCGGCCCGGGCTCCGGGTTATTCCCGGGATCACTGTGGTCACTGACAGCACTTCCTCCTCCCCGTGCCGGGGAAGCCCGCGTGGGACTCGGGCGGATGTGGGGCTGCACGCGCCGCCCTCCCCCACCCCGTAGCTCGCACACACGCCCTCTGCGCACCGGAGACACAAAGAGCGCGAGTGCTGAGCGCCCGACTGCGGGGGGCGGCGGGGAGGACGCCCGGGAGGGGCGGGGGCTCAACAGCCGGGGAGGGAGGGAGCAGGGCGGGGGCGGGGGCGCGGCGCCAGGGGCGTTCTTACCTGCCCCCAGGTTAAAGGAGATCCTGGCCTCTGCGAGGTACGGCGTGTCGCTCTTGGAGCGCACTCTCCGGATGGGCCGCCGGTCTATATCATCCTCCGAGGATGCCGCCATTAATGTGGGAGGCAGGAGCAGGGTCGCCCGGCGAGCTGAGAGGGAGAAGGAGACGGAGGGAGAGGGAGAGAGGCGGAAGGGGGAGGAGGGGAGAGGAAGAGGCTCGCGCACGGGGGAGGGGGAGGGGAAGGGGGAGGGGAGAGGAAGGGAAGGGGTGGGGAGGGAGTGGGAAAGAGAGGGAAAAAGGAAAAAAAAGGGAGAGAGAAAGAAAGAGAGCAAAGGAGAGAAAGGGGTGAAGGGAGAGAAAGAAAATCCGTTAAGGATCTGTGGACTGGAGCAGAGATCAGGCTATCCCTGGCTGGCGCCCGGGGCTCCCCCAGACTCCTCTCCCAGCCACAGGGCCGAGGGGCCAGTGCTTTTGGCTGACACCCCGCCTCCCGCCTGCAGCCCCAGTTTCCAGCCCTTGGCACAGATAGGCTCTTGCGAAAGGGACGACTCCAACGCAGAGATGCCCAGTCAGCACTGTGCCCTCTCCCGCCAAACGCGCTTACGCTGCCCAAGTGCACACTACGGTCTCCTTCACCCACAGGCTGCTCTATGTGAGCGTGCCGCGCCCGCGGTCCCAGCTCCGTGCGTGGAGTTACTACTTCTGGGGTGCAAGCCCTGGTCCCGCTGGTCATGGAGGAGGGCATTGTGCCCAGCCCAGCCCTCTCTACTCCCTTACTGCCAGGCAAGAGCTCAAACAGAAAGAGAACTAGATCTGAAATCTTCAGAAGTTTTCTTATCTGCCCCCTTACAACTTAGAGGTGGGGAGTGGAGGAAAAATGTCTACAAGTTTGGGAGCCGTTTGGTAGTAAGGTTTCTAGAGTTGGTATTTTGAATGTAAAGTAGGTATATGCATGCAGAATTGAGTGGCCTTTTCTAACCACTAACTTCTGGGTTGTGTTATCTCTACATAAGTACTCATTCATTTTAACCGAATTCCTCTTTATTTGGTCACAAATAATAGTGTTTGGGTTGGACTTGTAGCCTCTACAACCTGGCAACATTGTTTCTGCAGGAGAGGTGATCAAGGGGACTTTACATTTCTTTGAACGCCTGCACTGCCCCCTGCAACCCTACCTGTAACACAGCAGAAGAACCTAGAAAGGTTTCTGGGGTGTGAATAAGAATGGTTTGATGCTCCTGCTGAACCTATTGATGGGCTAAACCCTTTAATGTTTGTCTTTCTGCAGCTGTAGGAACTTAGTCTTTTTGTGGCCTGAGTTTACCACTCTTCTATCTAATAAGTGCCCACCTGGAGTACAGATTAAATCTTACCTTGCTTCCCTCCCTGCTACAAAGGGCATCTCAGTGTGGACTCAGGGGAAGTGCTGATCTGACTGTGCAAGCCCCCCCTCTCCACTTCAGCGGTCAGTTCTAACTCTCCACTTGCCTTTTCTCATTCTAGAATCTTCTTCTCTCTTCATTGGTCTTTTACCTTCACACGTGCATAGTAACTACTCATTTTAGGAAAAATATACCTGCCTTTGGCCTTGCTGCTTCCTCTATCTGTACCATAATGTTTCCTTCCCATTCTGTTTAATCTTCCCGTGGAACTCCTGGCCATCAGTCTCTGTTTTTACACTCCAATCTCGTCCTTTCATCCCCGTCATTGGTTTCTGTTATTTTAAAAGCCTTCTATCCATGTCCTTCTAATAGTCAAAACTAATTCTTTCTTAGCTTCTCTGAAATACTTAGTAATCCATCATTCTTGAAATAATCCCATCCTTTGCTAGGCTATCTCCCTAATCTGATTTCTAATTGTTGGCCAGTTCTCTGTGTTAATCTGAAACTGCTTATGCTGGCATTAAGAGCCCTCTACAACCTGTCTTTCCCATCCTCATCTCCCATTATTTACCTCCAGTCTGCTTGGAGCCACCCCAACAAATCTGGCTCATTTTTGTATCTGCACCTTTGCTTAAGTGACGCACCACAAATTTCTTAACTATAAACATTTCCTGTTCTCTCTCAGAAATGTGAAGTGACTAGCTCATTAGTTTATGGCATGAACCCAGCATATAGTAATTAAATTTTCAGCAAGTTTTGTTTGTTTTGAGACTGGAGTGCAATGGCATGACCTTAACTCACTACAGTCCTGACTTCCTTGGGCTCAAGCAATCCTCCCACCCAAGCCTCCTGAGTAGCTAGGATTACAGGCATGCACCACCATGCCCAACTAATTTTTTTTTCTTTTTTGTAGAGATGCGGTCTCAGTATGTTGTCCAGGCTGATCTCAGATCCTTGGCCTCAAAGGATCCTCCTGTCTGGGTCTCTCAAACTGCTGGGAATACAAGCATGAGCCACCACAGCTGACGAACAGCTATTTTTGAATAAAGTAAAGGAAGAGAGGGAGGGAGAGAAGAAGGAAGAAGAAAAAAAAGAAAAGAAGTGAAGGAGGGTTGTGAGTACTCATAACTAATGAGTGGCTGAACTGGGGACCAAATCCATGTATGCCTGATTTCAAATCCTATGCCCTTAACTAGTATTTGGATTTGCTAAGTATATATATTTGACTGATTAGCCACCTTTCAGATTCACTGTTCTATGACATATGCCTCATTATTATTTCCCGTTTATCACTGTTAAACATAGTTTTAAAGTGAAGGCCTCCTCTTCCAAGAGGCGCAGCGGAGTCCTATATGGCTCATCAAATGAATTATGAAAGTTAATACTTTTAAAGGACTAACAGGCTGTAAACCAATCTATTGATTACAACTTTCGGGTTCAGGTTCTTAAGGAAGTGCAAAATGTAAGGAAATAAACAATTCTAAATACTGTATGAATGGTGCCTCCTGTGAATTAATGCAATCTATTTGATTGTTCAGAATTTGGAATTCCCCATTCCTTTCTATTCTCATTCATCAGCCATGTCTCTGGAAAAATGATAACGTCATCTGGAGGAATATCTACACTTAGCTCTGCCATTTCAGAGAAGTACATCTTTGAATTCCTGTTTCTTATTCATTTAACATTTTAGAGGATTAGGAACTTAATATTGCTACCACTTTAGCTTTATCCTTCTTCAAAGGAGTTTAAATGCACTTTTGTATTATTTCATTATAGGCTATTTTATTATTGAAATAATTCCAGATAGCTAAACTTTTGACAAAAATGGGCATAGAAATACTACATTTATCTCTGTGTTATTGAATTCTTTTTGAGACAGGCTCTCACTCTGTCACCCAGGTTGGAGTGCAGTGATGCAGTCTCGACTCACTGCAGCCTCCACCTCCCCAGGCTCAAGCAATCCTTCCACCTCAACCTCCTAAGTAGCTGGGACCACAGCTACATGCCTCCACCAAGCCTGGCTAATTTTTATATTTTTTGTAGAGCTAGAGTTTCGCTATGTTGACGTAGCTGGTCTCAAACTCCTGGTTTCAAGCAATCCGCCCAATTCAGCCTCCCAAAGTGTTGGCATTACAGGCCTGAGCCATTGTGTCCAGCCTTGAATTCTTTTATCACATTTTTATTTCTAATTGTTATCTTCCATTTCTTGACTTCTGTGATTTACTTTCTTTGTCTTTCATCTAATTTTTTCTATTCTCTTTTTACTTTGCCTTTCTTTTCTCACACCCTTCCTTAGTCTTCGTAACAGTTCCACACAGTCAGTCCCTTTTCATGTATCCCCTGTTACCCTATACAAAGGACTCATTTTAAGGGCTTGTCCCAATATTTCCACATTCTTTAGTCTCTGGGACTCCTTTCATATTCATGACCTCTTTTCATAAAACATCTGGCTGCATGACATCAGTGGAAGAGCGCTAGGGGTAGGCATCAAGATGGTGGGTGCCACTGCCAGTAGTACTACTACCCCACCCAAGTGACACTGGGCAAGTCACTCTACCAGCATGGGTCCCATTCACCTCCACTATAAAAATGCAAGGGTCAGATATCATGATCTTAAAGGCGCTGCCTAACTCCAATACTCTAGTGTTATTTGTAGCTATTCTTGTATCTCTGCTTTCCATAAATATCTGTGGTGTATTTTGTCTCTTAATCTAAGAAAATACATTGGTCCTTTGTAATGAATTATATTTAGAAAACCACATGGCATCCATACTTCTACCCAGGTGATTTCCTATTTTTTAAGTCTATTTTATATAACTCTGCATCCTTTAGAATCTATTTTTCCCCCTCATGCTGTTTCCATCATGTGACAACACCCACATGATTGTTTATATGTGTGAATATGTGGATGTAGGCATCTGTACAGAAGCATTGAATTCAACTGTGACCTCAATGACTTCTAAATGTAGTTTTTATGCACCCTCCCCACCCCACTGCCACCCATGATTGCGTCTTTCTAAATATGACTCCTGACTTGGGAAGAAGGCATTTTCTCTTTTCCTTTTCCTAAAACCAGTCAACATTTTAACACTGTAGACTCTTAAATGTGTGTTATATCCAGAACTACAGCCAAAGAAAAAGAAGCAGCCCAACAGAGAGCTCAGGAAAATTACACTTCATACATCCAACTGCTATGGAAGAGGATGGAGGTGAGAAGCGGAGGGAGAAAGAAGGATGTGATATTCCATCCCCATTAAGAAAATTTTTCAAGTAAGTAAACCTTACCCTTTAAAAATATTACTCAAAATATGTTTCTAGGACACTCCTACATCAGAATCACTTGCGATACTTGTTAAAATGTCTATTTTTCAGGCCCCCAATCTGAACCTACTGAATCAGAATTTGAGGAGATGAGACCTGTATACCTAGATTTTCAAAAGACTCTCAACTCTATCCACTCTCATCACTTCTATTTAACATTATACTGGAGGTCCTGGCCAGGGAAGTAAGGCAAGTAAAAAAAAATTCCAGAGATATAATGATTGGAAGGCAAGAATAAAATTGTTGTTAGTCAAATATGTTATGATTTTATACCTATGGAATTCATAAGAATCCACAGACTGTTAGAAATAAGTAATTTTCAGAATGTCACTGGATACAATATCAGCATAAAACATCATTTTTTTGCTGCTCTGCCTATGGAATAGCTATTCTTTTATTCCTTTGGATTCTTAATAAACTTGCTTTAACTTTACTCTATGGATTTGCCTCAAATTCTTTCTTGGGTGAAATCCAAGAACCCTCTCTTGGGGACTGGATTGGGACCCCTTTCTGATAACATCTTCCTTACGAAACATGAAGGGATGATATTGAGGAGACTCCAGACCCAAAGGAAATAGATTGCAGCACTGACTGGCCGATTTTGGAGTCAAGGAAACTTTTCTTTTTATTGACAGCTTTTAACAATTGAGTAAAGTGTACTCCTGTGAACAAAATTTGGAGCACATTTCTTTCTCTCTTCCTGATTTCTCCAAAATTTGGAAACTATTTGTGAATATTCTTAACTTATGGCAATATACTTGTTTGCATAAGTGCAATGAGAATCTGCTTTCTTTTGCAACAGGACACAATTGGAGAAACTGGTTATTTTGCCAAGGCTTTGATGGGAATGGCGTGGTTCCCTTTAAGGAAGCAAATTTGACTTATAGAGCCAATAAAAGCCCCTTGGGAAAACTGGCCTCATACCTTGTCTACACAGTACTTGTACAGGGCTCCTGACCTATGGTAAGTAAAGAATAACATTTTCTTTCAAAGAACATATTTATTTCTGCCTTCATTTCGTGATGTACCCAGTAGTCATTCAGGAGCAGGTTGTTCAGTTTCCATGTAGTTGAGCGGTTTTGAGTGAGTTTCTTAATCCTGAGTTCTAGTTTGATTGCACTGTGGTCTGAGAGACAGTTTGTTATAATTTCTGTTCTTTTACATTTGCTGAGGAGTGCTTTACTTCCAACTATGTGGTCAATTTTGGAATAAGTGCGATGTGGTGCTGAGAAGAATGTATATTCTGTTGATTTGGGGTGGAGAGTTCTGTAGATGTCTATTAGGTCCACTTGGTGCAGAGCTGAGTTCAATTCCTGGATATCCTTGTTAACTTTCTGTCTCGTTGATCTGTCTAATGTTGACAGTGGAGTGTTAAAGTCTCCCATTATTATTGTGTGGTAGTCTAAGTCTCTGTAGGTCTCTAAGGACTTGCTTTATGAATCTGGGTGCTCCCATATTGGGTGCATATATATTTAAGATAGTTAGCTCTTCTTGTTGCATTGATCCCTAAGAATAACACTTTCTGACAGGCCCAGCAGCCCCAGGTTATCTAGGGACCTCAAGAGGAGAGGAATCATATAGATATTTAATGGTACAAAGCCATGGCTGGACTTGGCTTTAGAAAACTCTTATCTGAGTTTCTTTATGGAATAAAGTTCCATCAAAGCCAATTTAAAAGCCTATGTGAAAGGTAATTATTCTTGCTGCACTTTATACAAATAATCAGGGCAAGTATAAGACTAAGGTTTACTTTTGCAAACAAATTGGTTCTATTATGATTTGTCTTTAGCAAAAGTGGGAGACTGGAGAGAGAAAAATTATGTTTCAGGAACTGTGGTTCACCTGTTATTAGATTCTAGTGTCATCAGTTGTTTTTACGTTTGTTTTTTTTTTTTTTTTCCTGCAATTTAGACTAACCCTGCTTATTCTTGTGAACTAACAAGTAATCTCTGGGTGCTGCTCAGAAGAAACAAAAACGAAAGGGAATGGGTAATGCAACAATCTGGATTAATACTCTAAATTCTGGGCACATATTGGAATCAGCTAGTGACTCCATATCAGGTTGGTTCCAACAATTGCCCAGTTCCTGGAAAGCCTTCTTATTTAGTTTACTTGGAATAATTTTCCTTTACTGTTGTGGAATATATTTGCTGTTGTACTCTTTGTGTAGGAATGCCAGATAAGCTTACTGAATATTTTCTTAAATTGAACACTTATTATTCTTCCAGATATCATCTTTTGCCAGATCTGAGAGTTATGAATGACCCTTGCCATATGTATGCTTTGTAACTGAGCTCCTCTCTACCCTGAGTACCAGAGACCCTAATAATTAGGAATATCATCACCCCTATTCAACCAGAAGCAGTTATGGAAGCTGGATCTTTGTCTTTCTATAACCCTTAGGATTAAGGGTTCTCTTGTAAAAAGGGAGGAGGAAATGTCAGAGGCATTTGAACCAGAACAAATCCATCTTGAATAAGGGCTGGGTAAAATAAGGCTGAGACCTACCAGGCTGCATTCCCAGAAAGTTAGGCATTCTAAGTCACAGGAAGAGATATGAGGCTGGCACAAGATACAGGTCACAAAGACCTTGCTGATAAAACAGGTTGTGGTAAAGAAGTCAACCAGAACCCACCAAAACCAAGATGGCAACCAGATTGACCTCTGGTTGTCCTCACTTCTCATTATGCGCTAATTATAATGAATTAGCGTGCTAAAAGACACTCCCATCAGAGCCATGACAGTTTACAGATGCCATACCAACATCCAGAAGTCACCCTATATGGTCTAAAAAGGGGGAGGAACCCTAAGCTCTGGGAACCACCCACCCCTTTCCTGGAAAACTCATGAATAATCCACCCTTTGTTTAGCATATAATCAAGAAGTAACAGTAAGTATAAGCAGCTGAGTGGCCCATGCCTCTGCCAGTACAGTAGCCATTCTTTTATTCCTTTGCTTTCTTAACAAACTTGCTTTCCCTTTATAAAAACAGACAAAAAATCCCCCCCAAATCATTTTTTCTATATAGTAGCAAAATTAGAAAATGAAAAATTTAAAGTACCATTTATAATAGCATCAAAACCATCAAATATCTATCAATAAATTTTAAAAAAGATAAGCAAGTCCTCTGCATGAAAAACTATAAAACATTACTGAAAAAGATTAAGAAGACCTAAGTAAGTGAAAAGTGAGATAATATGCAATAATCGTGCTCATGGATTGAAAGACACATATTATCAAGGCATCAATCTTGTCAAATTGACCTATGGGTTCAATGTAATTCCAATCAAAATCTCAGTGTGTGATTTTTTTTTTTTTTTGGAGTTTGACAAGCAGATTCTAACATGTATATGAAAATGCAGAGGGAGAAGACCAGCACAATCTTGACAAATAAGAGTAAAGTTGGAGGATTACAGTAGAAGATATCAAGACTTATTATAAAGACATAGAACACAAAAAGAAAGTAAGATAAATAGATCAACAGAAAAGCATACAGAATCTACAAACAGATATGAACAGTCACTTGGCTATGACAAGGGTCCCACTACAAGATAGTGGGGAAAGGATGGACTTTTCAAGAAATAGTTTGTGGTTACACAAGTATATATATGGTGGAAGAAAATAAACCTTGATCCCTGCCTCACACAATATTAAATTCCAAATGGATCATGGACTTAAATATGAAAGGTTAATAATAAAATTAAAGGTTAATAACAAAATATTATTAAAGGTTAATAATAATAAAATTTCTAAAAGAAAAATTTTTCATAAAAGAATATTTTTATGACCTTCAAAAAATTTTTAAGCAGGGCGTAAAAATCACTAATCACAAAAGAATAGATAGACATGCTGACACCATTAAAATTAAGAACTTCTGTTCATCATAAGACACCACTAAAAATGTAACATATTAAAGTATGTGAGATGAACAGTGCTGGTTGGGACATTTATTGCACTAAATGTTTATTTAGATAAGAGAAAATATTTCAAATCAATAATGTAAGTTTCTATCTTAGAAACTTAGAAGAAGAAAAAATAAATCTAAAGCAAACGGGAGGTAAGAGTTAATAAGGATAAAAGCAGGTCAAGGAAATTAAAAATTTTAGGAGTTGAAAAATAAATGAAACAAAAATATCATTTTTCCAAAGAAAAAAATCAATGATTAATTAAGCTCCAGCAAGACTTGTAAAATTAAAAAAAGATATGAATCATCAATATCAGGAATTAAATAGGAGTTATCACTATGGATCCTAAAACTATTAAAAGGATATAAGAGAATAAGAGAATATTACAAGCATCTTTCTGTTTATATATTCAAGAACTTGGTAAAAATAAACTACATGCCTACTTAAAAAAAAGAAAAAAAATGAGAAAGACACCTTTAGGAGATTGGAAAAGCAGGCCACAGACTGGGAGAAGATATTTTCAATACATATTTAACAAAGGACTTATAACCAGAATATGTAAAAGATCTCCTTAAACAGCAACAAAAAGATAGCTCAACTCAATTTTTTTTAAATGGACCAAAAACTTGAACAGACACTTAATACAAAAAATGATTTTCAAATGTTCAAATAAGCATATGAAAAGATACTCAGCGACATTACTTAGAGGTAGATTCAAATTATAGCCTCAATGAGGCTATAATCTGGCTAAAATTTTAAAATCACTTAATGCCAGTACTGGTGAGAATAAGGAGGAACTGGAGCATCCATGCAATGCTGATGGGAACATCACTTGTAAAGATCACCTTGGAAGACTTTGTTTACATAAACATGGGTAAACATACTAGACCCATGACATGGACCAGCATGTCCACAGCAGATTTATTCATAATGACCCCAAACTGGGAACAATCCATCAACAGGAAAATATATAAACATAATTGTAATGTCTTCATACATTGTCAGACATAAAAAAAAAACTACTGCTACATGCAGCAACAAGGACGAATCTCTTAGATATGATGTCGAACAAAAGATGCCAGCCCTGAAAGACTACATACCACATGATTCCATTTACACAAAGTTCAAGAATAAGCAAATCTCATATACCATAATAGAAGGTTGGTGAGAGAGATGTCTTGGACGGAGCACAAGGAAATCTTTTGAAATGTAGGGAATTGTATGTTGATTTGGGTCGTGGTTGTACTTTTTAGAAAAGGTGATAACTTTTGTAAAAGTTCAAGTCACACGTTTTATATTTGTGCATGTTGCTCTACACATGTTATATATCACTAAAAAATAAGGCCCAGTAAAGTGGCCCATGTCTGTAATCCCTTTGGATTTACTTTGGGAGGCTATGGCAGGATGATTGCTTGAGCCCAGGAGTTTGAGACCTGCTTGGGCAACATTGCAACACTCCATCTCTACAAAATTTAAACATTAGCTGGGCATGGTGGTACGTGCCTGTGGTCAAGTTACTGGTGAGGCTGAGACGGGAGGATCGCTTGTACCAAGAGGCTGAGTCTGCAGTGAGCCATTTTCATGCCACTGCACTCTAGCCTGGGCAACAGAGTGAGACCCTGTCTCAAAAATAAATAAATTTATTTATTTATTTATAAAAAGCTTCTAGCTTATTAAGATGCAGAAATCAGTTTGAGAATTACCGCATTTAAGATAAGTACTAATACTTAGAAAACCACAGTATTAATAAATATGAAATTTAATTAATCCATTAAAATAATGTATTGATGACTTGGGCTGTCTTTATACATATCAGCATTTTATTATTTCAAAATTCTGTCTTTTTTTGGTGTGTCTCGCCCTTATTTTTAGGCTATCATCCTGTCTATTTCTGATAATGATGATCTTTTAAAGATTCAGGTCCCAGCATTTTGTGCCGCATTAAAAATAACAACAGAACAGCAGATAACTGAGTTGGAAGTATATGAAGGCATAAGAAAAGAATGATGACAGTGGGCTTCTTGCTGTGGACAGTTAAGCCTTACTATGTCTTGTTAAAACAGCATTCCCCAAAATGCAGAGGACATGTCACAAGAGTGTCGCAGCACTCAGTTTGAAGGGGCTTATATGGGCCAAATCTGGGACAATTTGAACACAAAAACAATGAAGTCCACTAGTGAATAATAAACCATTATATATGGGTACTCATTAGTTTTGATAATAAATGGATAGATTAAAACTGGTTTAAAAAACATAAATAATATAATAAATTCAGAATAGGGGAAGGCTCTTGGTTTTGTTTGTTTGTTTTTGTTTTTGAGATGGAGTTTCACTCTTGTCGCCCAGGCTGGAGTGCAGTGGCGTGATCTCGGCTCACTGCAACTTCCGCCTCCCAGGTTCAAGGGGATTCTCCTGCCTCAGCCCACTTGAGTAGCCGGGACTACAAGCGCACACCATGACGTCTGGCTAATTTTTGTATTTTTGGTAGAGACAGGGTTTCACCATGTTGGCCAGGCTGGTCTCCAACTCCTGACCTCAAGTGATCAGCCTGCCTCGGCCTCCCAAAGTGCTAGGATTACAGGAGTGAGCCACCATGCCCAGCCTGGCTCCTGCTTATACTAGAATGCTGAGAGCTGGCTCGTCAACGTGGAGGAAGTGCCAGAAGTTGAAAAATCATCAGTTTGCAGCCATCATAGTAAAGATCAAGCACGAACTGATAAGGGATGCTAACTCTAGGGGAAAATTTTTAATGATGGGTGGGATATTTTCATGGCCTTAAAGTTTCCCCCCATACACTTACTAGTTTCAAACTAGAAAGGGGACAGCACCTTCACGAGCAATTAAAATTATCATCACCATCGAGGGACGAGTGGACATTGGATGCCTCCAGAAGTGATGTCTAGGGAAATATATAACCACCTTTGGAGCACCCCAGACTAGAATGCATAAACATAAGTCTAATCATGAGAAAATGTTAGACAAAATTAAAGGGAAAGGAAACTATATTTTTCACAAATGCCAGTGTTTTTAAAGACAAATTAAGGGTGTGAAATTATTCCAGATTAAAGAAGGCAAAAGAAGACAGCCCCTAGACCAGTACTGGATTCTAACCTTAGACTGAATTGACCCTAGACTAGTTCCTGTCCTGGAGGAGGAAAGTGCTTTAAAGGACATTTTTGGGTCAACTGACAAAATTGAAATACAAGGAGCAGATTAAATTAAAGTATCAGTGTGAAATTTATTTCAGGGGATAGATGCGCTGTGGTTATGGAAGACACTATTCCCACTGTTAAGAAATGGGCCAGGCATGGTGACTCATGCCTATAATCTCAGCATTTTGAGGGAGGATCACTTTAGGCCAGGAGTTTGAGACCAGCCTGTACAACATAATGAAACTTTGTTTCTATAAAAAATTTTAAAAATTAGCTGGGCTTGGTGGCACACGCCTGTAGTCCCAGCTACTTAGGAAACTGAGGCAAGAGGATCGCTTGAGCCCAGAACTTTGAGGCTGCAGTGAGCCATCATCATACCACTGCATTCCAGCCTGAGTGACAGAGAGAGACCCTGTCTCTTAAAAAAAAAAAAGAAAGAAAGAAAGAAATACACAGTAAAGTATTAGGAATAAAGGATTTTGATGGTTCAGAAAAAATCAGATGTATATATATATATAAAGCCATATATAAAATCACATATAAAAATACACACACGCAATCATACATATATATTTCCTCCCTCATCTCTCTGGACACATATGTGTGCATGCGTGTGTGTGTGTGTGTGTGTGTATAAAACAATATCTCCTCTGTATATATACCATCATGTGCCACATAATGGCATTTTGGTCAATGATGGATCACATATACAATGGTGGTCCTATAACTATACTATAGTTTTACAGTACCTTTTCTATATTTAGATACACAAATAGCATTGTGCTGCAGTTGTCTAAGCTATTCAATACAAAAACGTGCTGTGCAAGTTAGTAGCCTAGAGCAATAGGCTGTACCATATAGCCTAGGTGTGTAGTAGTCTATATCATCTAGGTTTGTGTAAGTACACTGTGATGTTCATACAATGACAAAATTGCCTAATGACACATTTTTCAGAATATATCCCCATTGTTAAGAAACCTGTGAATGTGTGTGTATATATGGGTAAGGTATATATATGTATATGTATATACATATACATATATACACACACGGTGTAAAAATGAGTGTATATGTGTGTATATATTTTATGTGCGTATGTACACACAGATACGCACACAGACACACTCCTCTCTAGACGAATAGATCAATAGAGACAAGAGAGAGCAAATGGAGTAAAACGTTATTAATAGGTGAATCCACACTTGATCTTAGCCAAAAGGCCAAGAAGCAATTTTTTAATAGGTGAATCTGAGAAGAGTACATATGTATTCTTTGTACTATATCGTTTTTGCAAATTTTTGTATTTTTAAATTATTATTTTTTAAGTTAAAAAGTGATTGTAAAAAAACATGTTTATTCTTTTCTATTTAGGAGAGTTTCCAAAGGTTAGAGATGATGCCCCATCCTTACTTTTAAGTTTTTCTGAAATATTATCATTGTCAGATAGTCCCACAGGCTGTGGACAAATATTGATATTAATATTTGCCCATAGATATTGCCCACAGATTGATAATACTGTGGACAGTATTGATATTAAGGGTAATATGTCCTAGACTTACTGGCAGTCTTTGAATTTTTGTATTGATTCTGGTATATTATAGTCAGGCAGATTTAGAATCTGGGTTGTATAGATAAATTATATCTCACCATTTTGCACATCTAACATGAGTTAGAAATATAAGAACTCTTACACCTCACAATTAAACCCAGTACAACATCACTAATTATAGTGGCAATATTGAAAATCATTCATGAAAAGCTACAAAATGTAAATGATGGGGATGAATATCATTAACTATAATAACCCAACTTTCAGTAATAACTTGCTAATCTTAAATAGGTTTCACAAAAATATACCAAAAAGTTTTTTGGACTTTTTATTACAACTAAATTTAGTACATAGATCCTGGAACATTTTTCTTTTTCTATGCATATGAATACTTTGCTAGAAAACAAACCATCTGAGGAAATGTTATTAGTACATCTCAGTTCTCGCTGCTTAAACTTGTCATTAATGGAGCTGTCCACTACACAAAGTTCTGATATTTGTTCCCTTTTGTATGTGGCTGATTCTGTGGGCTACACAGGGAGAGGAGGTGGCTGCCTTGTTTCTACTATTGCAGCTCAGGGTTCCAGCTCTACTGTGTTCCTCTGGGCCCCAACTTAGGTCTTTAATGTTGCACAGCTTCAGGGATACATCATTCACTTCATAGGAAGAATCAAGTCCACAACTTGTACAGCCATACCTTGAAGGATGTAGCTCCCAAAGAGATGGAAGCCAGCCCTGTTTCCTGTAACAATATGGGTCTAATATTGACTTTGCTCTAACTCTTCTTTAAAGTGTGAATACCTAGCTTTTCTTATTGCCTGTATATACATGAATGAAAGACAATTCAATAGCTACCCTAACATTGGTATGGTGACTTCTCTCCCTGAGAGCCTACATAATTATGCAATATTGTGCCTAATTTTGAAACCACTTGATGATGTGAGACATATTAACAAAAACTGTTTAGGTGTATGAGCTATGCTCCCTCTTTCTTTTGAAATTGTCCTGCCCCTGTAAAAACGTTTGTATTGTGGTAGCCAGCTTCCAAAATGGCCCTTGATGAACCCCGACTCTTGGCACTCATGCCCTTGTGTAGTCACTTCCTACACTGAATTAGGCTTGGTCTCTGTGACCACAAGAATATGCTATAAGTGATAGTATATCACTTCTGAGGTTAGGTCATAAAATGTCTTGTGGCTTCTGCCTTGCTTCCTCTTTGGGATCTTGCTTTGGGGAAGGTCAGTTGCAACGTGATGGAGACACACCAGCAGCCTATGGAGAGGCTCATGTAGCAAGGCATCAAAGCCTCCTGCTAGATGTCATGGGCATGAGCCACCTTGAAAGCCTCAGTTAAATTTTCAGCTAACTACAGCCCCAGCCAACCTCGTGACTGTCACCTCAGACCCTAAACCCCAACAGCCCAGCTAAGACTCTCCTTAATTCTTGACCCACAGAAACTGTCAGATAGTGTGTTTGTTGTTTTAAGTCACTAAATTTTGGGGTAATTTGATACGCAGCAATAGAAAAGTAATAACTGTGGGTTCACAATGGACTCAGAGCATCAATTGTTAATGCCTAATACTATCTATGTCTATCAGAAAACTGAAATCTTAACCAGTTTGATTGAACTATTAGCAAATTTTAAGACAGAAAACAAAAATTAAATGACAGCACAAATCTTTCCAGTGGAAAACCTTTCTTTTCCTTCTCCCCATCTTAACATATCTAAACTCCGCCCATCCTCTGTGGCTGAAATGTTTTTATTCCTGTCTCCAGTACCACCATGAGACTACAGTAACTTTCTCTTCCTTTGTCTCTGCTCACCTTGTGGTACTTTATAATTTTCACTTGTATGAATATATTAACAAAATAATGTGGATATTATTTTTCTTCCAGACAATAGGAAGTAATGGTTCACAGTACAATCTTTGAGGTTAGCCTTCCTGAGTTTGTGTCCAAATGACATACTTAATAGTTACATGATTTCATGCAGGTCACTTACCTCTTACACATCTATAAGATGGGACTAACATAGTACCCACAAGTTGGGGCCATTACAAGGATTCAGGCATATAATTCAAGCAGTATTTGGCAAAGGAAATTCCTGATAAACATTTATTATGTTAAGACTATTATTACTAGCGAGCTCCAAGCAAGACTGTGGCTGAGAAATTAAACCTTGGCATAATTCCCAAGCTTATTAGACCTTGTAAAAAAGTTAGTGAGCTCTCCAAGCTTTGGTTTCCTTATATGTAAACTAGAAATAAAATAAACGCTCTCACTGGGCCTTGGGAGGATAAAACATTATGTAATAAATGCAAAACACCTAACATAGAGCCTGACAAATGGTAGGCGGGAAACAAATGTTCGTTGCTTCCTTTCCTCCCAGTTTCTTAAAGTAGACACTGTGCAGAGGGGCTGGGGGCTGGCTGCTGAATCACGCTAGATGCAGAAAAAGAAAATGTGCTTCAGGCTTTGTATGTTGAACTGAGTTGGGCAGAGACCCAAGCAGATTTCTATTATTTGAATGTTGAGCGTTCCTCGTTTAGATATAGAAGTAACTTTTCCAATCTTACTTGATAGTACAGGTAACATTAAGACTCATATATTTTGATTTTATATCTTCCACGTGGCTGATTTTCAATATAGTTGCTGTAATTAATGGCATCTTTTGAAATCTAAAGGTTCTAGTATTTCTAATTCATATTCAGTGTACACACAAGTGATATATACTTGGACATATCTTTGCGTGGCAAACTCTTGAGCTTGGTTACTTGCAAAATAACTTCAGAGGCAAAGGCTGCAGGGGCTTTAATCCTATTTGAGCCCCATATACAAGAAGACAACAGGATGTAGAGATATGGGCACAGATGAGACATTGAGAAACTGGGTTCTGGCTCCTGCTGTGCTACCATCTACCTCCATCTGGTTTAGCTAAGCTATTTCTCTCCAGAAAGGCAGGATGTTGTAGGGGAAAGCTGTGAAGCCAGAAAGACTCATGTTTGAATCCTGGCTTCACCTCTTCATGGTTGTGTGGTATTCGGTCAGTTTTTGATCATTCTGAGGTTTAGTTTCTTATAAATTGGGGGCAATAATATCTAACTCATAGGTTTGTAGTTTCAAATGAAACAAATATGCATAGTTTCTGTTATATGTTAGGTATTTAATAAACAGTGTTTGCTTTTCCTGTCTTCCCTAAGCCTCAGTTTTACCACCTGTAAAATGAGCTAATTAAATTAAGTACCTTCCAGCTCTGATGTCCTATTATTGTAGTAATTACACGGTTAAATGAAACATTACAAATATCCTGTTAAATGAAACATTGGGGCATTTGCTGGTGATGCATAATAAAATGCATCTATCTACAATAAGGAGAAGAAATATTGTGTTTGTGGAGGGGAAAGAACATAAAAATTTCTAAATGTATGAGTCTAAGAAGGAAGAACCACCCAATATAGATTACATAGATATTTTATTTGCATTCTGTTGTGTCTACAGATGGGCTGATGACAGTGATTAGATCACGAGGTATTAGTCAGAGACTCTGTCTAGTAAATAATGGCAGAACAGATCCAGGGACATCAACCCAGCTGGCAAAGTCACCCGTTGGGAAAAAGCAAAGCATGGTTGACCTTTCCATCAGAGCCCAAACTGTGTCTGATTATTTCATAATTCAGTTAGAATGAACTACTTCAAGGTAAAAAGAATTATTTTATTGTTTAAATTCAGACATAGAAAAATTAAAAGCAATAAATCTGAGGAGCTTGATTTAAGTTAGAAAAATCTGTGTGTGCCATGGAATACTACACAGCCATAAAAAGGAATGATATCATGTCCTTTGCAGGGACATGGATGAAGCTGGAAGCCATCATCCTCAGCAAACTAACACAAGAACAGAAAACCAAACACTGTACGTTCTTACTCATGAGTGAGAGTTGAACAATGAGAACACGTGGACACAGGGAGGGGAACAACACACACCAGGGCCTGTTTTGGGGTGAGGGGTGAGGGAAGGGAACTTAGAGGATGGGTCAATAGGTGCAGCAAACCGCCATGACACACGTATACCTATGTAACAAACCTGCACGTTCTGCACATGTACCCCATTTTTTAGAAGAACTAAAGAAAAATAAATAAATAATGAAAATGTCTTAAACAGCACCCCCAAAAAAAATCTGTGTGTGCCCATGTGTGTAAAAAGAATATAAGAATATTCACCAGGTTGTAAAGAATACCTATTTTTAGATGATGGGGCTAGTTGAGTTTTGTTTTGTTGTTTGCCTATATATTTTAAATTTTTCTATAATTACTATATGTTGCATTGGTAGTGAGAGGGAAAAACAAGTTATGTGTATCGTAAGACACTCCCGTGGAGACTCGGGCAGGTTTCCCTCCTCCCCCACCTCCCAGGAACTCCAAGCAAATCACATATTCTGCAACTCAGTATAAGGGTCAGAGGCCCCATCATTCCATTTTGATAGTTTCCCAAATAAAAAAAAAAAAAAAGGTAAAACTTTCCTTTAAGAAGTTGAACCTGAGTATAATGACATAAAATGGCTCCATTGCCACATTTGTATCGCACAACATTGAGACATTCTACCTTTGAATGTGTGGCGACATGTGAGCATCTGTCCATCCCCACATGCCCGTACATGGATGTCTTTGCTCGTATTTCCATGGTCGCCAAGATAACATAGGACCACCAGTTGCAGTGGGAAGAATCCAAAAGCTCAAGATTATAATTCTGGCTCCATTACTAGTAGCTGTGACCTTGGGAAGTCACTTGATTATTAGAAACATAGATTACTTCATCTCTAAAATGGGGTCAATATCATGTGCCCAATAAATTTCCTTTTTATAGATAAAATGAGATAATAAATACAAAGCCCTTGGCACATAGTCTGAGTCTGCTTACTCTCATTTTCTTTTGCAATTTCAGTGTACATGTCCAGATTATTAAGCTAGCATCAGATATAAGGCTAATGTAAAAATATCTCTTGCAGTGTGATGTTTGGAATGTGGTCTAGCTTTTCAGAGACAAGAATTCAATTGGGCTAAGCCAAGTAGTTTCTTCTCTGCCTGTCACCTGTCAAATTTAGTCACCAAACAGTGCATAATCAACTAAATGAAACAGAATATATTACTGCATGGGTTTTAAAAAGGTAATATGGCCGGGCATGGTGGCTCACACCTGTAATCCCAGCACTTTGGGAAGCCAAGGCGGGTGGATCACGAGGTCAGGAGTTCAAGACCAGCCTGGCCAACATGGTGAAACCCCATCTCTACTGAAAATACAAAAATTAGCCAGGCATGGTGGCGGGCACCTGTAATCCCAGCTACTCAGGAGGCTGAGGCAGGAGAATTGCTTGAACCCAGGAGGCAGAGGTTGCAGTGAGACAATATCGTGCCACTGCACTCCAGCCTGGGCAACAGAGCAAGACTCCATCTCAAATAAATAAATAAATAAATAAATAAATAAATAAATAAATAAATAAAAAAGGTAATATTCTGCATAATATTCCATGGTGTATATGTACCACAGCCATAAGAAAGAGCAAGATCATGTCCTTTGCAAGGACATAGATGGAGCTAGAGGCCATTATCCTTACCAAACTAATGCAGCAACAAATACCAAATGTTCTCACTTATAAGTGGGAGCTAAATGATGAGAACACATGGGCACATAAAGGGGAACAACACACACTGGGGCCTATTGGAGGCCGGAGGGTGGGAGGAGGGAGAGGGTCAGGAAAAATAACAAATGGGTACTAGGCTTAATACCTGGGTAATGAAATAATCTGTACAACAAACCCTCATGACACAAGTTTACCTATGTAACAAACCTGCACATGTATCCCTGAACTTAAAATAAATGTTTTTAAAAAGGAAGGTCTATTTTTAACCAGCTCTAACTGAATTCCCTTTTTCCTCTTCCTTTGCAGCATTTTAGAACAAGCTATAGTTATATACAATGATTGAGCTGCATTGAGGTTTTTTTTTTTTTTAAATCACGTGTGTTTTTTTAAATGACCTTATAAGTGTTAACTGAGAATTTTGCTTATTATAAAAATACAAGCCAGAATTTGCAATAATCTTAGTGACTTCAAACATTTGGCTCATGTAAATATTTCAAATAGAGTATTAATTGTAAGTACTGGTGCTAGGAAGAAAATTTTGTATTTATAGAAGAAACTTTTCATTTAGAAAATATGTTTTTATAAACAATCTCCCAATCTTCTAAATAATGTGAAAGGAAAATAAAAGGCCCAGTAGAACCACATATTCAGAGGCCAATGTAAAACATGTTAGTGAAATTATTTTAGGAGTTACCAAGGAATATAGAATATTTTGGGTGGTTTTCCAAGATCTCCATACCAAGCTTTAGATCCATGGAACTTATTCCATACTGATAATCTAGGCTTGGCTGTTCCATAGGATCTCCAAACTCAATATGCTTTAAATGGAGTTTCTTTTTCCTACCTTCATCTTGGTCATCCTCCTGTATTCTCCCTCTCAGGGAAGGGTTGCATCATTCACCGAGCAGGCCCAAATACAACATGTGGGAAGCATTCAAAGAACCTCTCTCTCACTCTCTGTCTACCTACTTTGTCACCGCATAATCAGGAAAAAAATCTTCTTAATATTTCTAGAATCCTCTCCCCTTTTGAATTCTCTCAGTCAGTTCCCTCTTTAGGCTTTCTTCTTGTTTGAGTCACTGCAATAGCCTCCTGATGCCTCTCCTTGCCTCTGGTCTTCCTCCCCAGTGTGTCCTGTATGTTAATGATCTCTATAAAAGCAGACCTGATAACATCTCCTCTGTATTCGCTGCTTTAGTGGATTCAGTATCAGCTTTGGGATTCCTTGGTCTGGCATGGCACAGCCTCACGTGCCATGACCCCTGCCTGCTGTTCTAGTCTTCTCTTACGCCATTCTCCACCTCTACAGTATAACCTGTCAGCCTAGGCAGAGTCTAACACGTGCAGTTCTCCAGATGGATCACCCTCTTCCCATGCCTGTTCATGCCTTGTCACAGGCCACTTCACACAGCCCAGAGTATTCTTTTTTATCCTCCCTCAAATGCAAGTGAATTGTCATCTCACCTTGAAGCCAACTTAGAAACAAAGCTGCATCGATGATAAACTGTAGAGTTTGCTCTGATTTCAGAGGAAATCAATACAGTTTAGCTAATGTTACCCAGAGGCAGAATGATACAGAGGATACTTTTGGAATTTGTTAGTAATTTTATTTTAAAATCAAAGTTGTGCTGCTTGTTCTTGTTCTTGTGTTTTAAGGCTGTTTCGTGTCTCCAAAGGGCTTAGAAATTTGAATCGGAAAGAAATGGCATCAGAGAAAAGAAGTGATGGGGCGGGTGGGGGTCTCTCTTGGGAAGCAGAAGCCCTGCCTATTTCCTCTGAGGCTTGACAAAATTAAAGCATAATTAACATAAGAACGGATACATTCATTAAACATGTATCAGGTGCTTGACGTCTTGCTTCGTGCTTTATATTTGTGTGTTTCTAAACTTTAGTCATTCCTATATGACTTTTTATGTATTTTGCTGTAGCTGAGTGCCATCTAGCCTATTATTTACTTAATATTACTCCTTAAATGGACTTAATCAGCCTATTTTTCTTGTACTGCTTGCTCTAAGCAGTGGTCTGTAAGTGTGCAGTGCTGGCTATATATTCTTATATTTTAATTAGTTTTTCTATTTATGTTTTTCTAAAACACCATAAAATAAATACATGATTATTATGAAAGAGTTACATATTACCTGAAAATTATATATCATACCACAGTTTGTGAAACTATGGTTCATTTAATCCTCAAAATAACCTGTTGGGTTAAGAATTCTTATTACTGTCATTTGCATTCAAAAGGGAAAGGTGAGGCAGAGAGAGATTAAATAACTTGCCTAAAGTTACAAGCTAGGAAGTGAAAATCATCCTTTGAACTCAGAGCTGTGCAATTCTAAAGCTCAAGTCCTAAACACTATGATATTTTTAAGCTAATATGGGAAACTATCTTATTCATACCCCCAGTTTTATAAATATAAATATAAATATAACCTTATAAAATTCCAAAGGTACGTGAAAGAAATTAAAAGTAAATACAAAAAAATTAAATAGTTGTGTAGGGTTGATTTTATTCTTCTTGATTTTTTTAAAGACAGAATCTCGCTCCATTGCCCAGGCTGGTGCAGTGGCATGATCACAGCTCACTACAACCTGGAAGTCCAGGGTTCAAGCAATCCGCCCGCCTCAGCCTCCTGAGTAGCTGGGACTACAGGTGTCCACTACCATGCCTAGCTAATTAAAAATATATATATTTTTTGTAGAGATGGCATCTTGTTATTTTGCCCAGGCTAGTCTCTAACTCCTGGCCTCAAACCATCCACCAGCCTCGGCCTCCCAAAGTGCTGGAATTACAGGTGTGAGCCACTGTGCCTGGCCCTCTCATTTTTTTTCCCCTTTTGGCCAAAGGCATTAACACTCCCCTTGCTTTGCTTTTATGATTGAAAAAGGATATATAGATCTTGAAGATAACTTTGTTGAGTCCTAGTATTTCAGAAGTCCAATTTAAGACAAATATTCATTCCATGGTTTTGCATAAGTGTGTATGTCCAACTGCTTACTGAGAAATTCTTAAAAATATTAAAAATGATATTGGCGTGGGCTGATTTTGAAGTGTTAGGCTCCCTATCCTTTCTTCTGCTAGCACAGGCACAAAGGGTGGTACCAACATTTTTGAGAAAACAGATTTGTTTGGGCAAATGAGGAGTGAGAATGATTTCCCTAGCACCTGGTGAATTGTTTATGCTAACTGGGTCATGGCTGGCGCTGGGTGAGTGTGGGCTGCCTCTCATGTGTGGTATGTGAGAGCAGGAATGATTAATTGATTGAAATTAGTTCATTGCATTTTCACATCATTTTCTTCTTCTCTGGCTCTCGTTCTCTCATTTTCTCTCCCTCTTCCTCTCATCCCCATGCCCTACTTTATGTATGAGTCCTGGATCACAATACATGGCAAAGCAGATCCTTGCTAGGGGCAAAGGCACTAAGAGCATTGAAAGGCTGTGTACAGTTAAACTGTGAGCACCAAGAATGAGACTTTGCCTACGGAGAATTGTCCTGTTCCCAGGGCACACTCCAGAACAGGAGGGTTGGATTCAATGGTCATCTATGTATCTGTTGGAGTTGACAGGTTGGCTAGCTCCACGATACTTTTTCTCTCGATCTGCCTTCACTGTCTTTTTCACCCATCATGTTCCCTGTATTAAACACAGGTTTGGAAAGCCTGGGTGTGAGCAATTAGAGGTCTGAAATGGAATGAGTGGGCAGTTAGGAGGGTAGGCATGGTAGGTAGTTTGTCAGTTGTGTGTGAAGTGCCATATACTGCTTCCTGACTAGGGTGATGGAGAAAAACAATAACAACAACAAATAAAAGCAAAAACAAAATAAAACAACAAGTATTTGTTGAGGGTGATGCCTCAAGCACCAAGACTGGAAACAATAAAAAATAAATTCTCATCTGAAGCACTTCTCAGAGACAAAGGTCTGGAAAACAGTATGATTACATATCAACTATTTGGATAGCAAACCAACAAAAATACAGGATATTACCTGGCAGGACTCTGAGGGGCAGGTGGGAGGACATTAGAAGGGAGAATGGAAAAAGTTATAACCTAGTTGTTTAATCGTGTCCAGATGAGGATTGGGTTGACTTGCAAGCACTGTTCCTGCCCCAGTCCTTCTGAAGCAAATCAGACCTGTAGGTCCAGATATGAGCCATATGTAAGGTCATGACATGAAGGGCTCAGGAGACAGGCATGGAGGAAGAAGACAACCTGATTTCCACTGTGCAAGACTCCTAAAACACCATGGCCAGGCTTCCAGTGAGTGGTTCTCAACGTGTGTGTTTCCAGTGTGTGGTTTTAGGTGGGTGTCTACACCCGCCTTCCTTCGAGTCTGGTTAGAAGCGTGAGTGGGATGGTAACTAGTTTGAGGATTAATCAGCCAAAAAGTATAAAAACAGGACAGTAAACATCTAAGAAGGAAGGGAAAAGGGGATCTCAAGGTGCAGCTCAGAGCTGGCTTTCTGGACATGTTCAGAGCAGCTTTTAAACTCAGCTCAATTAAGCTCACCGTAGTAAGAGTTGGGTGTTTGCCTATTCCATAATTCTGCTTTTAGGCAGAATGAAAACTCCATCATCCCAGACTATTCTATATCAAAAAGCCCTTTTCAGAAGAATACTACTCAGGGATCCCTGGAAGTCTATTTTAAAAGATTGATTTTTTTCAATAATAGACCTAAATTTCCCTGCTGTATATTCTTACTTTTGTTTAATTTCTTCTTATATGAGATACAGCAGAGTTGATGACTTGCTTCCATTGCCTATATCTCTATGTATTTGAATATTATTTTTGCATGTCCTTCCCTTCAGTCTTATGCAGGCTCCATTTTCAACTAAAGATTTTAATTCTTTAAAAGTGTTAGGAGGTTCTATTTTCTAAATCTTGAATAATCACACCCTTTCCTGGAGTCTAAAATGTATCTTTATACTATGTACCCATAAAAATGTTAAAAATATAAAAATTTTTTTAAAAATTCTTTTTATAGTGTAGATTTAAGCATTCTCACCCCATCAGTTCAATAGAGACATTTAATAAATGTTAGTGCTTCTACTGTATAAGAAGGATGATATTAAGCACCAAGAAGATGCTATTTAAGGAGATCACTGTGATTGAGGTAAGTCACAGACACTTAAGTAATCGTAAAACAAGAGTATCAATAACTAATCAATAACAATAGACAAGGTACTAGACACTTTATAGGCATACCTCACTTAATTCCCAAAGTCTCCTGCGGATTCAGAGCTAGCATTATATCTATTTTGATGAGGAATCTGAGGTTTAAAGAAGTAAAGCCATTTATATGAGCTCATGCATCTAGCAGGTGGTGGAGGCAGAATCATAGATGATGACAATGGCTGTAGTGTAGGCGTGAACAGCTGTAGTATAGGCAATGGGAGGAAGGCCTGGGAAAGTTAAGCAAAGCTTCACAGGGGAGGTGACAATGGGGCTGGGTCTCCCTGTAAGCACAGCAAAGGAAATAGTATGAGCATGTTTTGTGTTTGTTACTACTGTTCCTGATTTTGAACTAATGGAGTGCTACCAAATGTCTTTGTCTCTTGGGGCCATGTTTGAAGTCCTAGAGGTTTAGAGTCAGGTTTAGAGTATATTTAACTCAAAGCTGAAGACTCAAAAGTCAGCTGCTCTGACCGATTTCACAGAGTGGGCAAAGAGTGGAGGTGGGTGGAGGCGTGAGGGGAGAGACGGGGTTTGGATGAATTCCTCTGTATTTCCAAAAACAACTTAAAGAGACTCTTAGCTGCTCACTGTGGCATTCATCAGTTGTCAAAACTGGCATTTCCCTTTTTTGAACAAGACAATGTAGATGACAGAAAAGGTGCATTATGACAAGTAACAGTGACGACTGAGCCTGGTTCTAATGCCGAGTGTTATTTTAAATGATAAAAGAGGGGAAATCATTAGCAGGAGTCACTAGGATTGCCTAGTGACTTTTGTCATTTGGCTGCCTTTTAATGTATTTTCCCTTTAGAAGGTAATTTGAATGTCCGAGTATATTGATGGTTTTTGAGAAAAGAAACCTCACACAGTGGACAGGGTATGGATGTGATAAAATGATATCTGGTTCTGTCTCTGCTGTCCTCTTTTAAGCTGTGTGATTTGAGTTCCCAGCAGAATGACTCTGAGCCACAGCTTGACCATCCCTGGAAGTGTGGTTTGGTCAGGGAAGTTACCTTTGCTGATCTGCGGGGTTGATTTGATCAGTCTAACTAGATGAGAGGTTGCCTCTGCCTGGCAAGCAGCATGAGACAGCTTAAACAAAATAGCTTGGGCTTTGGAGATGGATATGTTTGAATGAAAACTCTGACTCTGCTGTTGTCTAAATGTACAGCCCTTTCAAGATACTTCACCTCATCAGTCTTCGGTTTTCTAGTCTGCAACATGAGCATAGGATTCCCGCTTCCCAAAGTTCCTTTGAGGGTTAACAGATACAATGAATATACAAGGGGCAGCCCTTGATACAAAGTCATTTTTATTTTTATTTTTATATATTTATTTATTTTTTGAGATGGAGTCTCGCTCTGTCACCCAGGCTGGAGTGCAATGGTGCGATCTCGGTTCACTGCAACCTCTGCCTCCTGGGTCCAAGTGATTCTCCTGCCTCAGTCTCCTGAGTAGCTGGGATTACAGGTGCCCACCACCACACCCAGCTAACTTTCGTATTTTTAGTAGGGACAGGTTTCACCATGTTGGCTAGATTGGTCTCGAACTCCTGACCTCAGGCGATCTGCCTGCCTTGGCCTCCCAAAGTGCTGGGATTACAGGTGTGAGCCACTGCGCCAGCCCATAGTGCTTTTTAAAAGTCCATTTGCATCTTCCCCATGGTTCAAATTCATTTAAAGTGGAAGACCTAGATAGAGAAAGTTATTCGGGGAAGAATAGCTGCATGATGCTGAAACCTTTTACTATGAAACAAAGGTCAGTAGTTGTCAGCCCTGGCTCCACATTTGAATCTCGTGGGGGCAGTTTAAAAGATTACCGTGTGTGGGGCTTATCCCCAGAGATTCTGATTTAATTGGTCCATAGTGGACTCTAGCATTTAGGTTGTGAAATCTCCCAGGTGTGGCCTATAATCCCAGCATTTTGGGAGGCTGAGGTGGGAGGACTGCTTGAGGCCAGGAGTTTAAGACCAGCCTGGGAAACATAGCAAGATTCTGTCTGTAAAACTTAAGAAATTAGCCAGGCATGGTGGCATGTGCCTACAGGTACTTGGGAGAATGAGGCTGGAGGATTGCTTGAGCCCAGGCGTTTGAGGCTGCAGTGAGCTATGATCCTGTCACTGTACTTTAGCCTGAGATGACAGAGCCAGACCCCTCTCTCTCTCTCAAAAAAAAAAAAAAAAAGAAAAGGCCAAAACAAGGATTCCAGGTGGTGTTTGTAATGTGCACTGAATTCAACTGTTGCTTCTCAAACTTTAATATAAATTACCTGGAGATTTTGTTAAAATGCAGATTCTGATTCTCTAGGTCTAGGGTGGGGCCTGAGATGCTACATTCCTAACAAGCCCCAGACGAATGAATGAAGCTGGTGCTGTCAGTCTGGGATCACACTCTGGGTAGCAAGTGACTGACGATCCATAATGGTGGTTCTCAAGCTCCAGTATTCATCATAAAAACCCATGGGCTAGTTGAAAAAATGGCACTGGAGCCTGGGGCTGGCCCTCCCAGGGTCTGTTTCTCTTGGCTTAGGAAGAGACCTAAGACAGTCCCTGGCCTATAATGTCCATTTTAACCTAAAAATCTCATGATGTTAATTTTGTGATTTTATAATATGTCTTCTCTTCAAGTTCAATTGTTCACTACAAAATTACAGAGTCTGAAGTTGAGTGTGTGGGGTAGCATTGTCAGAAACCTGAAACACAGATGAGCTCAAATTATGTGATGCCAAGACATGATATTTGAAGCCATGTGTATCTCTAACCTCTGGAGTTCTCCTTTTCAGTTAAAGGGGACTTCCGCAGAACTCCCTTCGTGTTAGGATTTACCATTGGCAAACGACTCACTAGTTAATCAAGAGAGCCTCCTTCACTGACAGGAGGCAAACAGGAGGACCCTGTACATTTTCTGCTCTCTGCAACACATCATACCTTCTAAAGCAGAATCATGAGAGAGGCAGCTGATCTCCCCCACCTTGAGGTCCAACCAGGGGAAAATGGAGGTGGGAGAAGATAACAGGTTCTTTATTCAGAAGAATAGATCAGGCACCTTTGAAAATCTCAGGGAATTCCAAAAGAATTTTTCTCATGATAAATTGCCTTTTTCCTTCTTTTTCTTCTCACCCTCCTGGATTCCTCTTGCTTTAACTAGCTAAAACGTCCTCTATTCAAGGGAAGGCTATTGCCACTTTCCAAGAAAAATCTAAAAGAAACAACTCTGTGTGGATCAAAAACATAATTCTGGCATTGTTGCTTTGGATAAAGATTTTGCACATGACTAATACAGAAGGTGTTATCTTCCTGGAACTTTATGAGTTTGTAAATAAATTGATATGAGGCTGTCATGTGGGAAATGAGAGAGGGGAACTCAGATTTTCTTGCTTTTCCCTTTAAAAACATTTACATCTGTAAGAACACTTGATCAGTCTATAGAAATATCTGCATGACAGTGAGAATAGACTACTCAAAAATGCAATAATCACACAACAGTTTAGCCAACCAAGCCTTAGGTCACCCAAGTTTTATATACTTAACCCCATACTGTACTTTCAAGTTGGCCTTCTTTTTAGAAGAAGTAATCAAATTGGGGCTACTTGGCCTTACTAATATCCTCTGCACTGGCTGGACTGGCCAAATAGAGAACTGCCATGTGGTGGAGTGATTCAGCAATAGCATGAGACCCTAATTGTCTCAAATGTGTTTCTCAAGAGCTGGCCGCCAGCTTGCCCTCCTTCACTGGTCCTCGGAGCCTTGCCGTTGGTTCGATACAAGCTTGAATCCGGCCAATGTGTGCATCTGGTTTGGATGGGAAGGGTGCCGGCCATGGTACTCAGGCCTTCACCCATTCACTGTTCCTTTATTAGGCCTAAGGGGTGCTGGTTGTCCAGGACAGACTGTGGAATCTGTGCAAAGGGGAGGGAAGCTACAGTGGAGGAACCCATGCAATGCAGTGCCAAGCCCCAAGTAATGGTAAAAGCAGAACTTGAGAAAGGAGCCTCCCAAGGTGATAGGTCCTGTGTGCTGGGGATCTAGGGAAGGTGTTGGAGGGAGAGGGACTCTCATCTTTAAAGTGAAATGAAGGACAAGACAGATGGAGAGCAGCAAGATGAGCTATTTTTCAGTTATGCCCTGAGTTGGGTTTTGACAGGACAAGAAATGAATCACTGCATTTTTAAATGTATTTAAAATTTCTATTTTTTGTGGTTGTTGCTAGAAATAGGTTTAACTTTTTAACTTTTATCAGGCCACATTTCTTGTTTGCAAGGCAGTGGCTTCATTGTGAAGTTTTTTTTTTTGACAGAATCTCACTCTGTCACCCAGGCTAGAGTGCAGTGGTGCCACCCCCACTCACTGCAACCTCCGCCTCCCAGGTTCAAGCGATTCTCCTACCTTAGCCTCCCGAGTAGCTGGGATTACAGGCATGCCACTGCGCCTGGCTAATTTTTGTATTTTTAGTAGAGACAGGGTTTCACCATGTTGGTCAGGCTGGTCTCGAACTCCTGACCTCCAGTGATCCACCCGCCTCGGCTTCCCAAAGTGTTGGGATTACAGGCGTGAGCCACTGTGCCAGGCCCATTATGAAGTTTTAAACAGAAGAGGATGGGCTTTTGCTGGGATTTTTACTTTATTGATTTGCTCGTGTGTAGCATTTCTTATGTGGCAGACACTGTTTTAAGCCCTTTAAAATCTTACCTCATTAATGCTCTTAACAACCTGTGAATTAGGAACTATTACTGTTTGCATTTTGCAGAGGAGCCTGCAACCACTATGTCATCCTGCCTCTAGTGTTGAGTACAATGTTCCTGTTGTGAGGTGGAAGAGGAGAAAACGGGATTAGGTGGACTGGTTCGTAAATACTGTCCCTAGACTGATGAACTGGCTAGGTAGCCATCCCTGGAGCTCTTGCTTAAAATGCAAATTCACAGGCCTTACACCAGGATATCTGGTTCAGGAAGACTGGGGGTTTTGAAACACTGACCTAGACAATGTGTGCGGGAACCCCCGCCCCTCCTGCAAATCCAGGAATCCTTGATTGAAACATCATCTGATTACTCTAATACGAACATGACTCCAGGGAGCAACAGTAGCTTATGCTGCCACCTCCCATGCATTTTCTAGTCCTTCCAGCTCCGGTGTCTAAACCACAGTCACTGATGGTGACAATTCTGACCACTCCACCCCCAGCTCCATCTGCTGAAAACCAGAAGGCTGCCTTGAGTCCTCCCGAGCCTCCCACACACTGCCTGCTTTCCTTCCGTAAGATCTTGGAGCCCACGGTCTTCTTAAAGGCTTAAAGCATCCCCACAGCAAGACAAAATGGGCATCTTTATTCTCTATAATTAACTGCTGCCCCCCTTTCTGTTTTGCCAACAGCTATGCGGTTCAGCGGGATGACCCCGCTACGGAGCATTATTGTCTCATTCCAGTCGAATGGACCAATCACATAGCAATGTGTGACCTTGAGACTGGAGAAGGAATTGAGCCTAACTTCATCCCCCACCCCCTTCCAACCTCCATTCTACCTCTACTTCCAGCATTTTCTTACTTGCAGACCCAGAAGAGGTTGGAGGTCCTGGCCAGTCTCTCACTCTTTTCCTTCTTCACTCACATTTTTATGTGTCTTTAAGTGGCTGGGAACAGCCATGTTGACTCCATACACCCAGAAGTTTGAGGAGAGTTTGCTATTACATCACTTCTGCTAATTTCAGCTCTGCTGTTGAGCACACAGACCTCAGCAAATCAACCAGACCATTTCCAACCCCTCTTGACTTTAAGAAGACTGGGTCATGCTCTGAGAAATGAAAGCAGAGAAGGAGATGGCTTGCAAGCCCCCTGAGGTTACCACGATAAGTTGGCTTGAGAGGGAGGTAAAAGCAATTCAGAGGACCACTTGGGAAAGCCCAGACAGGATATTATCAGTGGCGTGTGTAAAGTTCCCATCACCATCTAAAGTGAAAGATGCCAGAATTATAAAAACTGACTGCATTATCTTCTCAGCTCTGCTTTGTGACTTCTAAGAATTCAACTGCTTTTCTATTTTAAAATAGGGACATTGTCCTCCTTCTCAATGCATCACCTGTATCATTTGGGACATGCCCATCATCAGGTTGCTTTGACTGAACACCTTAAACATTTCATGGAAAACAGAAAATATGTGAAAAAAAAAATCTCCTCCTAGTCACGAGATCCCATATAACACTCCAGCTTCTTCTTTAATGTGGTGGAAAAACATTCTAAATACCCCAACAGAAGGGCAAGAAAACTGGAACCTAACTGACCATCTTGAAACATGTAATAAAAACGGACACATCAACCACACTTCCCAAGAGGCTTGCTCCCTGAATGTACACTAGTAATTATCTGAGGCGGTAACTGAATTCAGCTAAAATAGAGAAGGCAGCTATAGAGAAGCTCAGCGCTTCTCTCAAGAGCCCCTAATCCTGCTGGATTCCAGTCCACTGGGTCATGATGCCCTAAGATTTCAAGAGCTGTGGCTGCAAACTGGAAATTCTCCAAGGGGAAGAGCATTCTTGATTCTTTTTGGACATAAGTGTTGGACACAGGTGGTAGGAAATCATTTCTAACATAGCTTTCTGAGGGGCACTTACACCAAAAGTTGGGCATTTTTTTAACCACATCCAAGAAGTGTGGATTTATTTATTCTATTATATACCTGCCTCAATTCCAGCAGCAGTTTGGTAGAGGTTATCAACTTAGAAATACCGGTTATTAAACTTTCAGAGCAAGGCTTTAACAGCTACAGCCTACATGGCTGTTCATATAAAACCGACGTGCAAATAAGAGGAATTTCTTTTTCTTATTTTATTACCTTGAGCTCCTTGACTGTAGAAGAATCTTTGAGCTGACTCAACATCCAAGAGTCTGTGAGCAGACTCTACATCCAGAAAATAATCCATTTTGGGATAATCCATCCTTGATGTTCCAAACACAGAGTTTTGAGAGAAAACACTGGAACACCTATAAAGAGGAAAAAAAAATCCACAATATTTTAGACGTCAAGTATAAAGTGTATATATAGATGTACTTTAAAATGTTTGAATAAGAATATCCCATTATAATATTCTACTACTTGATTGACATTTGCAATTCTAAAGCCACCCCCCAGCATAGCTTTCCTACCGTGTGAGAAAATGCCGCATTTAGCCAACATTCATTAAAAGTAATATATTCTACTCAGGAAAAACAGATGATCTGATCTAAAGAGAGATAACATACCAGCCTTTCCTTGCTTTATATTCTCTGGAACATATACTGTTAAATTCACATGCTATCAGTTTTCAAAAGGTCTATTTGATAAATAGCGTCATTAAGTGTCAGCCGTTGTGAGTGTTGATCCTCAGCTCATCCTGGGACTTTCGGATTCCCCTGGAGCAGGGAAAATTGCCTGGGAATCCGAGCCTCCACTCATAGATGCCGTGCGTTTATGACACACACTGACATATTTGCTGTACAAATGCTTTGAATTCCTTCCTTTCCGGCGATTCCCTTCAGCACATTTTATAAAGTGCTAGAGGATCGTCACCTGCCTGTGCCTGGCAGGGGCTGATTTTTGAGAAACAATTGTGGTTTGTAGAGCAGCAAGAATGATTGCAGCATTACAGTGATCCCTATATTATCATACACTAGCCTGTCACAAAGCTAATATACTTCCCCAGAAAACATTCAGCCTGTTGGGTTCTTTTTTCAAGCCTATGTAGCCTTTCCCTGATACTCACACAAATGAATTATCTCTATTTCTGCAGAATATTTTTTTGGAAAGAATTAACAAGACAAAGTCATTAAAACCAAGCTTGGAAGTCTAATCCAATTGGTTTCTCTTTCTAACAGTATGTATTTTAATTTAAGAAACCAAGTCCGGTAAGACAAAACTTTTAAAAATACCCAAAGGTACCCCAATAGCAAATATACTTACTGCAAAAAATAAAAATCAAAGGCTATCTGTCAGCGGTAAAACAAGAGCCGTTCCAGCCAGAGTGTCTTTGATCTTGCTAAATATTCCCGGTGAAAGTAAACGATTTTGATTGTTTGATTAGAACAGTGATGAATAATGCATACAGTCCACTGGACTTCCTTTATCAGATAAAATGGCCAGAGCACGTTACCTTAGCAACGGAAGGTGACGCCAGCCTCAGCCTCTGCACCCTCCCCTGCGAAGGGAGAAAATTACCAGTTTCCCGTGTAAAACTTTGGCAGAAAATCATCAAATCCACATGCATACATCATGCAGGGCTATTCCCCAGCCCCCTATCTCTTAGGCAGAGAAGTGCCATAGTCATTAAAAAAAAAACAAAACAGATTTATGTCTTCATTGTTTATTTTCATAATCCCAAATCTTAGTTTGATTTGCAGCTACAAAAGAATAGAATATGAAATGATTAAAAATTTAATATATAGAAAAGTTGTCTAGAAATTTTTGTGGGGGCACCAGTTATTACCCTAATGCTGGCCTAAGAGTGGCAGGGAATGGGGGAGTTTAGGGAAAGGCCATTTTAGCTTAACATACGTTAGACATTCCCCTGTTATAATTAATACACAGAACAGCCACCGGCATCTAGGCTGAAAATAACTCTTCCCTTCTGCAAATCAGTCACTGGAAGAAGCTTAAAAAGCTGTCTGAAATTTCCCAGATTCTGAAAGACATATTATAGCATAGATTTTGTGGGAGATCCCCACTCCCCCCACAACCCCCATCCCCGGCAAAGGAAAATTAGCCAAAAAGATATTTGAAAGGAAGAGTCTGGAAGTTAGCGGATACTCACCGGCACTTGTTGACCCCTTTCAACAGGACACGGTAGAGTACAAAACAAAGCAGTGCGACGCTTCTGAGCCCGCAAGCACAAATGAACAGCTTCTAATTTTCCCTTCAATCTCGCTTCAAGAGCACTGAGCAGAGGGAAGTGATGGATTTGCCCATTTATACTGTGATGAAATGCAACCCTTAAGAAGAGATCTGAGTGGAGCTGCTCTTTAGAACACATTAGACTGCTAATTTAAGAAAATTGAAAGGTTTTGTTTTACTGTCTTTTATGTGTTCTTCTCTGCTACCCCCTCAATTTAATTTGCATTTAAAATTATTCTCATGTCTCCTCAGCTCTCCAAGGTGTGGAGTACTTTCTAATCATGAAGGCTGCTCCAGTAGGGTTTGGTGCAACACCACTTTTATGCTGAGCTGCAAAACAAGGCAGGTAGTCATAATTGTGAGCTGTTTTCTGGAGCGAAATACAGAGGGCACGTTTGATGTCACCCCTTCCCTCTTGCCTGGCTTTCTTCCTTTCCTTGCTTCTGATTGCCTGGTCAAATATCCAGCGCAGATCATGCCAGTCTGCCTAAATGCATTTCTCTCTGTCTGAATGTAACAAAATAATACCAACAACAAAAATAAACTTTGGCTAGTATCTCAAGTTATTCTGGTTTAATATTCTTCCTACCAAACCTCAGTAATGACTTTTAGGCACAGTACTTTGAGATCTTCATGCAGGGCATAGTGATAGCCAAATGCAAGCCCTACTGTGGGTTTTCCACAACCTCTTGCACCCTTTGTTGACCAAGCAGAATTGCTCATTAGTATGGTGTGGTGTACAGTGGGTCAGCTTGTTAAGAAAAGAGCATTTACATTTGATAAGCCTCGGAAGGAAGACCATCAACACCACCCCTGTCCCCCCACTCCCTATACACAGCTCGGCTGGCTGCCCTTGAAACAAACCTGAAAATCCTCTGCTGTTTGTTTTGTGGGGTCTCCCTCTCCCACCCGATCAGAACAGATCAGACACCAAGCCGGTGCTGCAGACAGTTAAGCCTCATGAAAAAGGAAGCTGAAACTACCAATCATATGCCCTTGTAGGAAAGTCAACTATGGACTCTGAATTCTGAAAGCTTTGCTCCAACCCAAGGACTGACTTCTTTAAGGTTACTTTTCTATTCAGCACCCACTGGAGACATGCTGAACACTTGACATTTATAAGAGGAGAAAGCTGTCTTCTGGTTCCTTTTACTTACTGTGAGGTGTGGGCGACAGGTTCTGAACTCGTTATTGTAATTCTACTGAAATTGTAATGACTCATAGATGAGAGAAAGAGAGAGAGAGAGAGTATAAGTCTATGCTGCTGACCAAACCTTTAGGTGAGTGCAAATGAATGTGTGATTGAAGAAAGAGATGCTAAACTGGAAATGTGAAAAATAGAGTTGATTCCCAGGGGGTAGGTGGTGGATTTGGAAGTCAGTCATTTCTGGAGAGTTGACCAAGAAAGAGAAATTTAAAATACTTTACAAAGTGAACAAATAATATGAAAGGGTCGTAATTTAAGAAAACTCAGGAGGGAAAATTTCAACTTAAAGAAATGTATTTGGGGCCGGGCACAGAGGCTCATGTCTGTAATCCCAGCACTATGGGAAGTCAAGGTGGGTGGATCACCTGAGGTTAGGAGTTCAAGACCAGCCTGGCCAACATGGTGAAACCCCATCTCTACTAAAAATATAAAAAATTAGCCAGGCATGGTGTTGGGTACCTGTAATTCCAGCTACTTGGGAGGCTGAACAGGAGAATCGCTTGAACCTGGGAGGTGGAGGTTGCAGTGAGCTGAGATCATGCCATTGCACTCCAGCCTGGGTGACAGAGCAAGACTCTATCTCAAAAAAAAAAAAGAAAGAAACAAAGAAAGAAATGTATTTGGGAAGGGGATGATTATTCATTTGCAAACAGGGACTTACTTTTACTAAATAATTATCACTGTGTTCTGTAGCATCATATGACCAACTTCTGTAATAGATTTTCAAAAAATGATCTCACTCTCTGGGGAATATAGCTATAGATTACATATAGGTGTGTGTGTGTGTGTTCAAAAATTATTTTTAAATATGGTAAAGCATAGTAATGTTCAAAAGCCAATGTCAAAATCTGATTAGCTCAATTCTGTTTTGTAACTTTAAACTGCTCCAAAACAACACTTATAATGGTCTATTGTTCTGAGAAATAATCAGAGAGGAAGGCAAGGTTACATCAAGTATTCAAGCTAACACGTATTCGGCACTGAACAATCCAACCCAAAACATTCTCAAGATTTCAGCTCTGCAAAACTTAATTCAGTGTTAAAATATCTCTATGACCTAGAAATAAAATATTATTTTAAAAATTCCAAAATCAAGTCATATGTTTTACATTGATGGCATTAAAATATGAAAGTGTAGAACTGTAAGGTTGAAACAAATAATCTAGAATTATTAAAAATATGTGAGATGGTAGAGAGATACATACTTTTTTGTTTTTAGTTTGGTTGGAAGAGGATACATATGTGAGTATTCTATACACAAGCAGATGTATTCAATTAATTCAAAACAGAGGTATGCTTCATGATGGAATCTAGAGGCAAGTAAAGATATAAGCTTGTATTTATTTTGGGGGTGTGCTTATTTATTGTGTTAGATGGCAAAAGACCCAAACATTCCAGGAGAGATCACATGATTTGTAAGTAGGTAACTTGCTCTTTTTACATTATGCTGTTGACTTCCATTGGAACCAGCCTGGGTTTATCCTCTTTGCTAAGAGATAAAGCAGTTCTTCTTATTTATAATTTTACAATGAATTTTCCTTGTTTAATTACCTTATATTCCAGAGCTCCCTAGAAGACCATGTTTTATATTTGTGTTGGACTATTGAGGTCTGGCCTTCTACTTAAATGACATCCTGGAGAAGATTCTTTTTCTGCTAATAAACCCAACTAACTTTAACTTTAAAATATTAGAGACTTTCTTAAAGTGTGATGATATGTTGGATCTGTTGGTTTGGTACCTAGATTAATAATCTTTGTTGAAGTGCTAGCGTGCTAGACAACCACAGAAAACAATATTCATTCATTTTTGCAAAGACCTGACCCCAGAATGTTTCAATAGCAGTGGCTCCCTCTGCTTGATAAGTCACTTTACCTCCCAACCCCTCCCTCGAAAGAAATTTCTTTCCTTTTTTTTTCTTTCATTAAAAAAATTAATAGTAACGGGGTCTTGCTATATTGCCCAGGCTGGTCTAGAACCCCTGACCTCAATTGATTCTCCTATCTCAGCCTCCCAAAGTGCTGGGATTACAGGTGTGGCCTCCTTTCCTTTCTTTATAAAGTTTGTCATTAATTGATAGGGGTACTGCAAGTATTTTATCTAAGGCTTTATTCATATTGAAATCTTGATGGCAGAGAAAACATGTTAAGCCATCATCAGTTATTTTGGCTTTAGAGTAATTGAACTTTCAGTTCTTTCTCGTGAATAAGTTTTGATGATACTTAGAAAGCTAAAGAAGGCTGGGAAGACTGGGAAACTGTGTGGAGAAAGAAGTCTCAGGGAAGAGACCTTAATTCTATTCCGTATAAGCCTACAGTCATGTTTTGAGGGCTTCCTTAAGTTTAAGATACCTGGTACTCTGCTGTTAGAAAAGGGCATTAAATTTGTTAGCATCTTCATTTGAACCAGGGCCAAAGCTGCCTTATAGATTCAGAGGTGGATTCATTAATTCTATTCAAGAACGTTGTGCCAAAGGAGTTTCCCCTTGGGCCATCCTCAGTTAGCAGGAAAAGTCTTCACACCAAAACCACAAAGCCCTCTGCTCTTGAAACTGCCCTGGAGACAGCCACGCTGGATGAGGTGCACACTGGACAATATGGTGGGGCCAGGGCCAGGCAGAGGACATCCATTGGCCTCACTTGCTGCCCACTTCTGAAAATATCCTTTCCCTTCTGTTAATACTTTTTAGAAAGGTCAGTTGAGAGAGGAAAGAACAAGAGTTCATATGTCATCTTACCCTTCTGCCAACTGGATTCTAGTAAGTTGATCTTACTTATAATATGAAAATCTTTTTGTTTCAGAGAAAAAAATAGTCAGATTCAGTCCCCATCTCTGTGCCCAGGTCGTTCATCTGGAAATAGGGGAAGGGGGAAATGTTGAGTAAGGAAACAAGAAGTTCTCTAGCAACTCTCTACTTACTATAACTGTCAAATATCTAAATATGAAGACGTTAAGATGACCACCCAATGATGGAGAAGTACATTGACAATAGTAATTTTTTTACATGAATTTTAGGATACATAATAATGATATTTGACTTATTCCCTCTGGCAAGAAAATCACATTGCCCTCAATTCTTTCATTCTCTCTCTCTCTCTCTCTCTCTCTCTCTCTTTCTTTCCTTACTCTCCCCCTCTCTGTGTGTGTGTGATTTATTTTCAACTCTCCTGGAGAAGGCTGACAAATTAGTCACAAGTTCCCTAGTGGGAGGACTAGCCTTTTCCTAGTCCCCCTAAAAATCCAGATAGCAACCCTGAAAATATCCAAACACATATTCAAGAAAGAAAGAACAATAATCTCTAAGAGCCACAAGTCTAATAGACCCTACGTTAATGATATGGCCCTTGAGCCTCCAAAGCACATTGAACAAATAGGACTGAACATAGCAGTGAGAGCTCACAGGGAGGGAGGCAGTGTGGGTCGTATCTAAATAGTAATGGACTTAGGTGACTCATTCCTTTTAGCTTTAAAATACACTGACACATTCTACAGCAAAGTCTGTATGCTTAAATATTAACACTTAATGTTTTTCTTATGTATATGTGCAAAGACATTTGATGCATATCTTTGTATAACAAACAATTATTATTATTCATGACATAGTCCCCAGTTTAATTTGTTGTTCAAAGGTAAATGCTTTTAGGATCTGTCACCTGAAGGCATTGAAGGGTATCATATCACAGGAATTAAGTTTCCAAATCATAATTCTCTGCTCCTCGTGGATTAAAGATAACGGAAGACTCAACTCCTCTCTCCTAAGAGGAATGCCTTTATTTGTCTTTTCTGAAACAAAGAGAACCTTGTTGGTATTCACTGCATTTTAATATATCATAAACATTATCAGTAAATGAAAGAAAAATAATCTGTCATATTTAGCCTCAAAACACTCATTGCTGTATAATGAGCACCAAAGAAATGTTAGCTAATCATTCAGGAGACAATGCGTGAAGTAGTTAAAAATATCATCTAGAGGATCCTAGTTCTGTAGCAGAACCTTGCACGCTAATCTCCTTGGGTCTCAGTTTCCATCTCTAGCAGAGGAATAAAAATCAGGGCCAAATGAGACAACGCAGAGCCTGAACACAGGAAATACATAGGTAGTATTTAACAATAATTTTTGAACAGCCTACATGTATGCAAGGAGTTGAGGGAATAGAGCACCCCTTCCCATCCACTCCAACTGTATCCATCTAATATGTTGAGACATTGCCTCCATCACTCCAATTGCAAATAAGCTCTTAGTCCTCTGAAATTCGGTAGTATTTTGTCTATATCTCTAACGTATGTTGTAGTTAACTATGTATGTATACATGAAGATTAAATGAGTTAATATGTGTGAAGCAGCTGGAGTGGTGCCTGGCTCCTCGTACACACCCAAGGAGTGTTAGATATTATCATTATTTTTCTTCACAGAGAGTGCTTCAAGGCACATTTTTTTTTTCCTGGTGGGCCATATAAAGTAGGAAAGCATTGAGGACCCATGCCAAGACATCTTCACCAAAAGGACATCTGTTATTCTTTTTGCTATCCTGCTTTCCTGAGCGAAGTTTGCAACAGTGAATGACAAACTAGAGCAGAATTTTCATGAGTTCATCTTCTCTTTCCTCAGCCAAATTAAATGACACGATATATGTAGATGCTTGGCACAGAGTGGGCACTTTATACACTGCGTAATTGCACAACAACTGATGTTCTGGCAGGGTGCAGTGGCTCATGGCTATAATCCCAGCACTTTGGGAGACTGAGGTGAGAGGTGAGAGGATCGATTGAGCCCAGGAGGTTGGGGCTGCAGTGAGCTGTGATCGCGCCACTGCACTCTAGCCTGGGCGACAGAGCAAGACCGTGTCTCAAAACGAACCAGCAAAACAACTGAAGTTTTCTATTCTTCCAGGGATTGGTCCACAGATCTTGCCCACTGTAAATGTTCAGGTATTATACATTTATTCATCATTGTTTCATTAGCAGATGATAGTTTATCACTCAATATGTGCCAGACACTGTAAATAGTTGCTGGGAATACAATAAGCTAGTTTGATTCCTTCCTCAGGAGATTACAGTTTAGCCTGAACTTTGATTCTCTTAACTTTTTTTCATGTGAAAGCATACACTGAAAACTATCCTATCTGTAAATGAGCAGAAATGTCTAGAAGCAGTCATCTCCAGGGTCTCAGCCACCAACGACCAAGAGAGAGGCATTTTGGTATGCTGGTTGGGAACCTTTGTGTAGTGTTCAACCTTTAATGTGTTTAATTTCTCCTTAGCTTTTCAAATTAGATGGGAATACAGTACTTAGTTGGTGGTAGGGGAGGAAGGAGTAGACACTCAAACCTGGTACTGTGTTTAATGCTGAAATTGTAGGGTGGCACTCTCATGTCTGAACTTTGAATAGCAACAAAAAGGATTAGCAGGCTGACTGATGGAAAAAAAACAAAACAGAAACATGTACCACCATGTTTTAAACGAATAATCTTTAAAAATGGTTTCAAGAGCTGTTGGTTTTAAACCAATTGATTTTTAAATGTGCTTTCACAGTACTACGATGATAATTGCCTTGAGTGAGTTACCATCCGTCACAGGCTCTTTTGTATATTTCACAGCTCTCTCCTGGGAGGACAAATAATAGAACTGCATTGTATTTCACTAGCCTGGGAATTGTGGGACCCAAGGTACTTGGGAGAAGTTCATGTTCTTTAGCCCTTAGAGCATTGGGAGTAACATTTTTCAGGTTAGTATAACCTCCTCTGGCAGGGTAAACATTTGGGCTGCATTTTTTTAAAGAGCCCTTGATTTAAAAAAGCTGGTAGTGGTAAACAGCAAGACTCTACCATCACATTTTTAACATAGCTCTGGAGGAACTATGATTTAAAATCAAAAGTCTTCTCATTCCTATGGCAACCAAAGAAGTATTCAACTAATGTAACATGCTGTGTCCATTAAGTGCTGTGTTCCTCCCCCACCTTCTGCTGCCTCCCTCTCTCTGGATCAACCTGAACCTCACTAAACTGTATACCTGGAAAAAGGCTCTTTTCCAGATGCAGAATTGGCTTGCAACATGCAAGCCATCAAACCCATGAATGTAAAAGGGAAGAGTCCTCCCAGAGGAAACCTTTACAAACCCAAAGGGAAAAAGCACCCCAAAATAGAGACACCGTCTGCTTCCCTCATTTGACATGTTTGAGAGCTCCTTGTTTTAAAGCCAGACACAAATCTGTGAAGAGATTCCCTTGAGTTACAACCCTTTTTGGGAGCAGCTACCATGAAGATAACATATGTGGTGAGACAGAGCCAACAGCACCCACTGTGCTGCAGCACAGCCATGGGAACATTTATCACACATTCCCAGGAAGCTGGAGTGGTTACTCATGCTTATAGAGAAATACCCTCCCTGAGCCACTGCCTCATGGGGTGGTGGGGGTTGGCTGCCACCATTACTGCCTACATTTCAAGGAGGACTCCAGTGGCTTTATGCTCTCCTAGAGGGCTCCTTTTTTTAGTCAGAAGCTGAAGCCTGAGATTCAAAGACCCCAAAATCAAGGAGAAGCAGAGTCTGAATTCTGGCTAAGTGATTTTGAAATTTACAAGAAAGAAAATAATTTTCAGGGTGGAGATGGCCAGGGATGCTTTACATAAAGTCTTGCATAGATTCCAATGTGGATGGACTGGTCGTTTGCTTCTGGTTCTTTGGAGAGGTTCAGAGGAACATTCTGAATCACAGAGAAGCATCATACCTCCATTGGCTTCTCTTTGGACTCCAATCCCTGTCTTTCTGTCCCTGGGCTTCCTCAATGACAGTGTATGTTTGAGAGGAAATTGGGTGAAGACTGTCCTCAATCATTGTATTTGTGGCAAGTGTAAGGACTGAGAGGTCTGTTGCTCTGTGACTTTAGGCACAGTGCTTCCCAGCTCTGGGCTTTTCTCCCATCATTTGTATGACAGTGATGTTAAACTCTTTTAAGTTTAAAGTAAGTCCAAGTCTAAGGTATCTATTGCTCAAAAAGTTTAGAACTGAAGTTAATAGAATTGAGACCTGATTAAAGCTTTCTATTTCTTTCTTTTTATAAAATGAGACTAAGATATGTACAAGCAGACTGTACAGTGAGACCCACGGTACGGGGTCTTGCTGCTCAAAATGTGTCCCTACAGGGGCATCATCACTGGGACACGGGAGCTTGGGACCTGCAGAAGCTTGAGCCCTAGTCCAGACCTCCTGTTTCAGAATCTGCATTTTAATAAGATCTTCAGGAAATTCATGGGCACATTAAAATGTGAAAACTACTGACAGAGAGTTCTTACAGAGGCTGTGTTTCTCTAAATTTGTTGGCACTGAGGTCAACTGTTTCAAGCACCCTGACTTACTTTGCCCATATCCCTGGTGATGTTATTACTGATCATTTTTTCCCATCAAACAGGTGAGAAAACCTAAACTCATAGAGATTAGGTAACTTGCCTATAGTCACACAATAGATTATTAGATGTTGGGCTGAAGTGGATTTAAGACAGACTTCCTTGTGTGGCCAATTAGCTGTGAGGGAGAAGAAACCAGGTCTTCTTTAGAATGTCCACCATAAACCTCGCTTGTTTATTAACAATAGCATCTCCTGGTATAAAACCCTTTATGTAGCCTTCCCCACCTGCCCCCCAACTTGACATTGTACTTTTCAATTTAAAAATGATCATTGGATTCTCAAGACAGCCTCACATGAAAATCAAGGGAGGGATTCTCCATTTTACTCAATTCTGCTTCATTCTACAGAAGGGGACAGAAAGTCTAGAGAACCTAATGGACTAGTTGGAGCTAGTAAGTGCCAGAACAAAAGCTGAAGCCCAGATGTTTTGGAGTCAAGCCTACTGTGACAGCACCATCTTCACATTGTGTCTCATTCAGAGTGTTTATCCTGCTGGCTGCTCTGTGCCCACACTTACCTTAAAGACCAGGACAACTGGTGATGCCTTCTTGGTGATTCTTCTTCGTGATTCTTTTTTACTTTTTTATTACAGAAATTTTATTGTGGTAAAACACACATAATACAAAACTTACCATCTTAACCATTTTTTAGTGTATGGATCAATGGTATTAAGTACTACACATGAGTGTGCAAATATCTCTTTGAGACTCTGCTTTCCATTCTTTTGCGTAGTCCAGAAGTGGAATTGCTGAACCATATGGCAATTGTGCTTTTAATTTTTTGAAAAACTGTCATACTGTTTTCCACAGAGGCTGCACCATTTTACATCTCCACCAAGAGTGCAGAAGTGTTCCAGTTTTTCTACATCTTTGCCAACACTTGTTATTTTCTCTTTTTTAAAAAAAAAAATCCAAATGGATATGAAGTTCTTTGTGATTCTTGAAGGAGCATTGCTCTTTGAATGGCCCTGCTTGCACACTGGGTAGGCCAATGGGTGTCTGACACAAAGGCCAAAGCACTTTGATTTGAGCTTGTTATAGAGTCAAGATCACAAGCATGCTGTTGAGAGAGTGAAAAGACAAGCCACATACTAGGAGAAAATGTTTGCAAATCATATATTTGAGAAAGGGATTGTATCTGGTAAGAAAAACTCTCAAGCCTTACAAATAAGAATACAAAAATGCAATAAAAATATGGGCAAGACATTTGAATAGACACATTGCCAAAGGAGACATGTGATGACAAATAAGCACATAAAAAGATGTCCAACATCATCACTCATTAGGGAAGTGCAAATTAAAATGTATTAGAATGTCTAAGGCAAAAAAGGGTGACCATACTGGGTGCTGGCAAGGATGTAGAGCAACTGGAATTCTTACATTGCTTGTGGAAAATAAAATTATTACAAGTATGTTGGAAACATTTTGACAGCTTCTTGAATAAACGTTCACCTACCATATGATCCAGCCACTCAACTCCTAGAGGTTGCCTAAGAGAAATGAAGGCATATGTCTTGTAAAAAGATTGTTCATAGCAGCTTTATTTTTAACAGTCCCTAACTGGAAATAAGCCAAATGTCCCTCAACAGGTGAATGGATAAAATAACTGTGGTGTATTCATACAATGAGATACTACTCAGCAATAATAGGGAATGGACCACTGATACCTGCAACAACACAGGTGAATCTCAGAAACATTTTGCTGATTGAAAGAAGCCAGACAAAAAAAAGGAGTACATACTGTGTGATTCAGTGTATATAAAACTGTAGAAAATGCAAACTAATACATACTGACAGATTAGTGGCTGCCTGAGAATGAAGTTGGGTAGAACAGGGGAGATGAGATTATAAAGGGCATAAGGAAATTTTGGGGGATAATGGGTGTGTTCATGATCTTGATTGTGGTGATGGTCTCAACAGTGTATGTAGTTCAAGAGTGAATTAACCATATTACACACTTTAAATATATAGCATTTGTTGTAAGTCTGTTATGCTTCCAGAAGAGCTATTTTTAAGAATTGAAGGAAACTGTAATACCATAATGGATGTTTTCTCTTTTATTATTTCAGCTTTTATTTTAGATTCAGGAGGTACATGTGCAGGTTTGTTACAAGGATATATTGTATGATGTTGAGGTTTGGGGTATGATTGACCCTGTCACCCAGGTACTAAGCATAGTACCCAATAGTTAGTTTTTCAGCCTCCTCCACCCATTTGTCCCCAGTGTCTATTGTTGCCATCTTGTTGTCTATATGTTCTCAATGTTTAGCTCTCACTGATACGTAAGAACATGTCATATTTGGTTTTGTTCCCGTGTTAACTGGCTTAGGATAATGGCCTCCAGCAGCATCCATGTTGGATGCAGCCACAGTTCATGGCTGTGTAGTATTCCATGTAGTATTCCATATACCACATTTTCTTTATCCAGTCCACCATTGATGGTCACCTATGTTGGTTCCATGTCTTTGCTATTGTGAATAGTGCTCCAATGAATATACGAGTGCATGTATCTTTTTGGTGGAACAATTTCTTTTGGATAAATACTCAGTAATGGGATTGCTGGATCAAATAATAGTTCTAAGTTCTTTGAGAAATCTCCAAACTGCATTCCACAGTGGCTAAATTAATTTACATTCCCATCAATGGTGTATAAGCGTTCCCTGTTCTCTGCAGCCTTAATAGTATCTGTTGTTTTTTGACTTTTAATAGTAGCTATTCTGACTGGTGTGAGATGGTATCTCATTGTGATTTTGATTTGCATTTCTCTGATGATTAGCGATGTTGAACATTTTTTCATGTTTGTTGACTGCTTGTATGTCTTCATTTGAGAAGTGTCTATTAATGTCTTTTGACTATTTTTTAATGGGGCTATTTGTTTTTCGTTGCTTCAGTTTTTAAGTTTCTTATAGATTCTGGATATTAGACCTTAGTTGGAGGCATAGTTTGCAAATGTTTTCTCTCATTCTATAGGTTGTCTGTTTATTCTGTTTCTCTGTTGATTGTTTATTTACTCCTTCCTTCCCTCCTTCCCTCCTTCCTTCCTTCCTTTTCTTGCCTTCCTCCCTCCCTCCCTTTTCTCCTCCTTTCCTTTCCTTTCCTTCCTCCCTCCCTCCCTCTTCCTTCCTTCCTTCCTTCCTTCCTTCCTTTCTCTTTCTTTCTTTTTCCTCCTTTCTTTCTTTCAACAGGATCTCACTCTGTGTCACCCAGGCTGGAATGCAGTGGTGCAAACATGGCCCACTGCAGCCTGGACCCTCCTGGGATCAAGCAATCCTCCTGCCTCAGCTTCCCAAGTAGCTGGGACTACAGACACACCACCATACCCAGCTAATTTTTTTTTTTTATCTTTTGTAGAGATGGGGGATAGTTTCTTTTGCTGTGCAGAAGCTCTTTAGTTTAATTAGTTCCAATCTGTCAATTTTTATTTTTGTTGCAATTGCTTTTGAGGACTTAGTCATAAATTATTTCCCAAGGCTGATATTCAGAATGGTATTTCCTAGGTTTTCCTCAAAGATTCTTATAGTTTGAAGTCTTACATTTAAATCTTTAACCCATCTTGAGTTAATTTTTGTATATGGTGAACGGTAGGGGTCCAGTTTCTTTCTTCTGCATATGACTAGCCATCTATTACAGCACCATTTATTGAATATGGAGTACTTTCTCCATTGCTTATTTTTGTCAACTTTGTCTAAGATAAGATGACTGTAGATGTGTGGGTTTATTTCTGGGTTCTCTATTCTGTTTCATTGGTCTGTGTGTCTGTTTTTATACTGGTACCATGCTCTTTTGGTTATTACAGGCTTTTAGTATAGTTTTAAGTCTGGTAATTTGATGTCTCCAGCTTTGTGCTTTTTGCTTATGATTGCTTTGGCTATTTGGGCTTCTTTTTGATTCCCTGTGAATTTTAGAATAGCTTTTTTAGTTCTGTGAAAAATGACATTGGTAGTTTGATAGGAATAGCATTGAAACTGTAAATTGCTTTGGGCAGTATGGCCATTTTAATGATATTGATTCTTTTAATCTATGTGTATGAAATATTTTTCCATTTGTGTCATCTATGATTTCTCTCAGCAGTGTTTTGTTGTTCTCCTTATAGAGATCTTTTACTGCCTTGGTTAAATGTATTCCCAAGTATTTATTTTATTTTATTTTTTTGCAGTTATTGTAAATGGGATTGCATTATTGATTTGACTCTCAGCTTGAATATTGTTAGTGTATAGAAAAAGATACTTTGATATTGTATCCTGAAACTTCACTGAAGTCATTTATCAATTCCAGGAGCCTTTTGGCAGAGTCTTTAGAATCCTCTATATATAGAATCATATTGTCTACAAAGAAAAATAGACTTCTTCTTTTCCTATTTGGATGCCTTTGATTTCTTTCTTTTGCCTGATTGCTTGACTGGGACTGCCCCATAATTGACCTTAATGTCCATTTTTCTATTTTATTTCTTTTAGTTAATGTTATGAGAAATTGGAAAGGTGATTTTTGAAGATTTAATTCAGCCTACAAGTATTTTCTCCATTCAGAAAGTAGTTATACCATATATTTCTTATTTTAAAACATGTACAAATTATTGTGAAGCTTCTGCATTAGACATGAAACAATTGTTGCTATAATTATTATTTTTCATAGCATCAAGCCATCTTGACCACTGATGCTAGAAGTAAACTGGCCTTAGTGTAGTAGTGGAAGTCAAATAGCACACCCACGAGTGGCTTAGCACTAAGCAAACTCAAATAAGGTATTTCTCAGAGAGAGGGAAATATAACAAGGAAAGTACATTTTTGAGATTTTAGATTAAAATATAGTGGTTTCAAAGCCAAATTTTATTGAAATGAGATAGAAGCATACATCAAAAAGGGAAAATGGGTCTTTGGAATGGTTATAGGGTTATTTTGTGTCACCGAATGAGCAATTGTTGAAACAAGTTGTTGAATGGTAGTAAGAATTTCTCATATGATCACTTGAGCAACACAATTAAAAAATATATCTCTATCCAGTTTGATTTTGACTCCAGTATCCTTTAGCTTACAGGCTGGTCTGAACTTCTCTGAAGTTGTCTTCAGAAGGAGGCATCTTCTCCAAAGCTCACTTAAACATGGAAGAAAATCCCATATCTGTTAGAAATCGGCAGAATGACATGTTTTTCCATTTTAGTTTCTTGTTTGTCTTTAAGAAATATTGAGAAAAGCCAAAAGCTATGTATATATATAACATACAAACATGAACACACAATGAAAAACTGTTCTTAGAATAAATATTTTCATAATCAAAAGAGATATAAAAATTTAATTTATTTATCAGAAAAAATGAAGCACAGAGTTCTTATTTGGTATCTATGAGAACTGAATTGTTTATGCCATAAAAACTGGACCAATCGCTATAGTATCAAGCTGGCTAGATTTGATTAATTGACTAACTGACATTTGCTATCGATTCATAAACATCATAAAACATGAAATTTGTGGAATAAATGCTGACTTTTTTCTTGAAAAGTTCAATTCTGATCAATGGAATGAAGTAATTGAGCATTGTTTATTAAATATTGAACAGTTATTAGATTAAACAATATGAAATCGCTGGTATTAAACCACTTCTGGCTTACAAAAGAGTCAGGCACTGGTGAGGTGCTAAACGTTAAAATATGATTAAAAATAAAATGATTACATTCAAAGAACTCAGTCTACTGAAGAAAACAGACTCCAAATCTGATAAGCGTGAGTGTTCTATAAGACAGGTGTGTGCGTAGAGGCAGGGAAAGTGGAAAAACTAACTTTGCTTCAGCAGACATTTTACTAACTGCTATCCACCAGTAATAGTGCAATATTTTAATAGAATAATCTACATGTTCTTTTCTGGACTCACAAATTCATTCTGAAGGTAATAACACCAACAACTGTATGTGGAATGATAGAGAATAATTGCCTGGGAATGTTTTCAGCTTTTGTGCTCAAAAACTTTAAATCGATCTGTTCTTCTGTCCTCTTAACAAATCCATTTGGAAAATTTTTGGATATCAGCAAGGAGACTGTCATCAAATGATTTATGCAGAACCGAGCAGTGATGCAGTTCCCTGGCAGTCCATTTTGTTGATAGTCATGAAGAGATCAACACTCCAGGGGCCTCTTCTATATACTTGGGATTATTATCATAATCCCCAAATTATAAGATCTTTTGGGAGATAGCTACCATCTTTCTTGATATCCCTGTTTTTAGCCATAAACACATTTTAAATTCATTGGCACTCACATGGCTTTTAATCCTTATAGAGAACTTCTTTCATGTTAAAAACATTATATTAAAAAAAAAAACCAAGCTGAACCACTTTCTAAACATTTAAAAGTTTTAAAACACCCACTCACCTTAAAAAAAAAAAAAAGTAATAGCACACCAAAACTTCTGATGTCACTTTCCATGGATGTTGACGCATTTAGGTTGTCAGTTCTATTTCTGTTCACTTAACTGTAGCCTCCAATTTCCACTTATAGCATTTAGCTTGGAAATTTGGCATTGTTCAAACTTCAATGGCTGCAAAGCCATGTAAAACATGGTACAATAAAAATACGCCTGAAACTGCCACACCTTTTCTGGACAAATCTCGAGTTGGTTTTATAATGGTGAACACGCTGCTTTTTTTTTCCCCCTAGGGCTAAACTGTGGAATGAAGGATACAGAAACAGCTATCACATTGCTTAATAAAAACTATCATTTATACATTTGAATTCATCCTAATACATGACTATTTGTTTTTTCTATTTGCTAAATCGACATCTCTTAATTCTGTTGCTCTCTAGGGCAGCTAAGCAATCAATTTGAGCTTAAACAAATAAATGTTTATTGAGCAAGCTGAATTCTTATAGAGAGTCAAAGATGGCAACATTAGGATTCATTTAGTGCAAGCCATTCATTCTGCACTTCCTTTAGTGATGCTAACAGTCAAAACAAAAAAAGAAATAATAGAGTTCCTCTTCTAGGGGATGGGGGGGGTTTAGTTTTGTGGAAGGAGAGATTTGTAAGACAAATAATTGCAATTCAGTTTAACGTGCTGTTTTTAACAGAGGCGTGGAGGAGGGAATTTAACCCACTCATCTTGGACTTTAGAGAGTGTTTGACTTAAATTTTGAGGAACTGAGTTTAACAGGAAGATAAAGTGGGGAAGAGAATCTTTGACAGATGGGGCATCCTGAGTAAAGTTGTGGAAGCTAGGGAGAGTCCAGCTTATCTCAGGAGGAATAAGAAGTTGGACAGATTCTTGTACAGGAGAGGTTCAGGTATTGGCAGAAGAGGATAAAAAGGTAAGCAGGAATCACGCTGTGAAGGATATAGTCCGGCTTCCTTCTCTAGAGTCAAGACTGAGGCAGGTAATCTTGTTAAGAAGCAACTGACAGAGTCCAGGCATAACATGAGGAGGATTTGACTTAAGAAGGTGAAATCCAATTTGAATCACTTTTAATTTCAAGTCCCTCAGAAACATTCTAGAGTAGATGTTTTAAAGACAGTAGGAAATTTGGGTGTAAAGGGAGAGGTCACACCTAAAGATATGGATTCTCAATCAGCATGTTTGGAAGTCGAAGCACTGAGAATGAATGTGATCTCTTGATCTCTTCTTTAATCGTTTACAGATGGACCCTTGAAGGAAGAAAACATCGAAGGAGGAAAGAGAAGGCTTTGACATAAATTGAGAGGAACAAGGAGAAAGAGGTTCGTTGCTCTGGAAACCAAGGAAGAATCAAAGAGGAGAATGGAAGATGTCACATATCTAAGAATTCTTTATTGGATTGGGCAATTGAGGATTCACAGATGATCAGAGGAGCCAGAGACAAATCAGAGTGGTCAGTCTCTGCCTACCAAATTCAGAATCTCTTGACAGGGTTCTGGTTTGGGTATGACTACATTAGTAGCTAGGGTTATCCTACCGTGTAAAAATACTTAGATGATGATTATTTTTTTAATGCCAGTAGTCAATGAAGCATTCTTCAATGTCTTCTTCCTGAATTTCTCCCACCTTTTGATCTGAAATGAAACCTTAGGGGAACTCACCCAATTAGCCTCTATGCCACAGTCTAAGCCTCCAAATTCTAGCAATTAGGTATTTTATAGCAGCAAATGCAATTCGTTTACCCAAGATAGGTTACATAAGGTAGGCTAGAACATTCTGGTTTCAGTCACTTGTTGTCCTTTGGACTTAGCTGAGGAGCTTCTTGAGCCTATGCCCTGCCCCAGAGATTCTGATTCTGACTAATCAGTCCGGTTAAATTTGCACAGGGGTTAGGCCCAGTCATCGTTATTTTTTAGGATCTCAGAATACAGAAGGAGTTAAGAACCAGTAAGTGGAATATTCGAATGCATTATATCCTTGGTAGTCAAAGTGATCCACACAGCATAATTTGTGTCATTCACCTGCAGCTTGTTAGACATGCAGAATCCCAGGCACCACCCAGACCTACTGAATCTGAATCTGCATTTTAATGAAATTTTTAAAAATTTTGTAATTGTTTTCTATTAAAAAAAATTTTTAGGGAGGGGGTCTTTCTCTGTTGCCCAGGCTGGAGTGCAATGGTGCAATCATGGCTCACAGTAGCCTCAAACTCATGGGCTCAAGCGGTCCTCCTGCCTCACTCTCCTGAGGAGCTGGGACTACAGTCGTGTACTACTATTTTCAGCTAATTTTTTAGAAACAGTCTTTGTAAAGATGAGATCTGGCTATGTTGCCTGACTGGTCTAAGATTTAAACAAAGTTTAAAATCCTGCATTATATGTTAGACTTGACCAAAGTCTTGCCTTTGTATTGCCCTGAAGATAATTGGGCAGACCTGGCTAGACTCAACTTAAGTACCCTCTAAATTGCTAAAACACTAGTTTAAACCCTTGCTGCACCTTCCAAGCACCTTCAGACCTTTAACGATATATTGAAGCTCCGACTTTCCCCCTAGAGATTCTGATTTATTTGTTCAGGGGTGAGGAACAAGCATTAGTATTTTAAAAGCTCCCCCAGATGGATTCTATTGTGTAGCTAGGGAAAAAGATTCATTGTACTAAGAAGTCCTAAAGGGAAGCAGAAATCTAAATTCAATTTAAATATAATAGAATTTTTTAATATAATGAGAGCATAATGCTAGGAGTGTATTCATAATTGGAGCCTCAGCTGCTGTGCAGCAGGATGGTGTGAGGGCAATGTCTGAAGGTCTCACTGATGAATGAATGATGGCATATTCTTTAAGAAACATTCGAGGCCGGGCGCAGAGGCTCACTCCTGTAATCCCAGCACTTTGGGAGGCCAAGGCAGGCAGATCACGAGGTCAGGAGATTGAGACCATCCTGGCTAACGCAGTGAAACCCCATCTCTACTAAAAATACAAAAAATTAACCAGGTGTGGTGGCACACACCTGTAATCCCAGCTACTCTGGAGGCTGAGGCAGGAGAATCACTTGAACCTAGGAGGTGGAGGTTGCAGTGAGCCGAGATCGCACCACTACCCTCCAGCCTGGGTGACAGAGCAAGACTCTGTCTCAAAAAAAAAAAAAAAAAGAAACATTCAAGTTTTTAGTAAGCTCTTGCAAGAGTTTCAATCAATTAACTTAAAACACTTATAACAACAATTTTTAAAAGTTAGTAGAGACAGCACTAGGATAAAAACTTGTCTTATGTTAAAGTAGTTTGAGGGAGCAGGAAAGAGCAAGAAGTCGGAAGAGGTACTTTTCTCCTAGCGGGAAAGATCTGTAGGCCTACATTTGCTAAACCCTGAAACAGTGGTATTTTGCAAGACTGAAAGACTTTGTGTAGGTGTACGCAGAATGTCAAGGATGAGTCAAAGATTAATACCTAAATTATAGAGTATGAAATGGGAATTTCATGCCTCTGACTTGGAAAGTTGGAAAGAAGGAAATATTGACGGATTCTAAAGTACAGTTGACCATTGAACAACGTGGGGGTTAGGTGTTAGGGTTTCAACCCTGCGAAGTTGAAAATCTGTGTATAACTTTTGAATCCCCCAAAATGTAATTACTAATAGCCTACTGTTGACCAGAAGCCTTACCAATAACATAAACCATCAGTTAATACATATTTCCTACGTTATATGTATTATGTACTCTATTCTTACAATAAAGTAAGCTAGAGAAAGAAAATGTTATTTTAAAAATCTTAAGGGAGAGAAAATATATTTAATATTCATTAAGTAGAAAAGGATCACCATGAAGTTCTTCATCCTTATCATCTTCACATTGAGTGGCTGAGGAGGAGGAGAAAAAGGAGGCATTGGTCTTGCTGTCTCAAGGGTGACAGAGGCAGAGGAAACTCCATACATAAAGGGACCCTGGCAGTTTAAACTGTTGTTCAAGAATCAACATACTACGTATTATAGTTTAATCAAGTGGATTATAACCAACTTCAAGAACTATTCACAATAGCAAAGACTTGGAACCAACCCAAATGTCCAACAATGATAGACTGGATTAAGAAAATGTGGCACATATACACCATGGAATACTATGCAGCCATAAAAAATGATGAGTTCATGTCCTTTGTAGGGACATGGATGAAATTGGAAATCATCATTCTCAGTAAACTATCGCAAGGATGAAAAACCAAACACCACATGTTCTCACTCATAGATGGGAATTGAACAATGAGAACACATGGACACAGGAAGGGGAACATCACACTCTGGGGACTGTTGTGGGGTGGGGGGAGGCGGGAGGGATAGCATTAGGAGATATACCTAATGCTAAATGATGAGTTAATGGGTGCAGCACACCAGCATGGCACATGTATACATATGTAACTAACCTGCACATTGTGCACATGTACCCTAAAACTTAAAATATAATAAAAAAAAAGAATGGAGAAAGACTGAAGCCATGCATTTAAAAATAGTTTAAAATTTTAAACTATTTAAAAATAGTTCTGCCAAATTTCTCAAAGCTTATTTACTGGCAAGTTTTCCCAAATGCCCAAATCATGCTACAATTTAAGTACAGCAGTGATCCCGAAAGTGACCTTCTAGCAGAATGATTCTTTATGAAATGTGTATAGAATGTATTTTTGTATTCAATAACTACTGTTAAGTTTTCCAAACTGTCCTGGGTACCTAAGGATGGTATTAAATAATTGCAAGACATTCTCTCTGTACTTGAGAGACTTAAGCCTTTGTTCAATAAAAACAATTAGAGAGTTGTGTATTTAGGGAAAATATTCTATTTTCAAGATACAATAAAGCTACACTTAAATACAGAAAAACTGTAAAGTCATAAAGTTCAAGGTTTTAAAAATTAAATGACAGCAATAATACTGTTGATGATATGAGAATGCAAAATAGCTGTAGATGTTTTAATATACAACATTTTAAAGAAATTACACTTGGTTCTCCATATCCAGGGGTTCTGAATCAGTAGATTCAACCAACTGCAGATCAAAAATATTTGAAAAGAAAACCAAAAAGTAATAATACAACAATAAAAAATAATACAAATAAAATATCAATACAGTATAATAGCTACTTCCACAGCATTTATATTGTATTAGGTATTATAAGTAATCTAAAGATGATTCAAAATATAAGGGAGGATGTATGTAGGTTATATACGGATGCCATACTATTTTATATTAAGGGGTTGAGCATCCTGGATTTTGGTACCTGCAGGGGTCCTGGAACCAATCCTGGTGGATACTGAGGGATGACTATATTATGTAGCTATAGTACACAGAGTCAGTACTGGCCTGAGAAGTTGTAACACTTCATAATTCTCCTTTCTCTAAGATAGAGACATAATCACCTACTCACTCCAATTCTTGAATTAGGGTGGATAAAAATATTCTTGCCTTACCTTCTTACCTGAACGTGTTAATTTTGAAAATGAAAAAAAAAAAAAGACGTAGAAGGAGAGCAGTTTGCAATCCCATCTTTCCCCCACTTTCTGTTCTCTGTATTCTGTGATGGTGGTTACTTTCAGAAGTGAATAAGCTATTGGAGACTGAGGAGAGTTGAATTTATGATAGACTTTTAGAGAGTGCTCACCATGTGCTGCACTTTCAAATAAATTCATTTTATTTCATTCTTGAAAAGTTCTTTTGGGTGATATTATGCAACTTTGACAGATGAAGAGGAAAAATGGAAGCTCACAAAGATAAATTTACTTGTCTAAAATCACACAAAGGAAAATTTCAAACCCAGTTTTTAAAACTAAATTCCCTACAGGACATGACATTTGCTCCCTGGGTTGTAGAATATCAGTACACAATTGAAAATGCCATAGAGTGAATCTACTGTTAAAGGAGCCCTGGTGTGGTCCAGGGTTCTTACTTTGGCTACTTTCTTTGAGTCTTCAACCTCAAGGTTGAGGAATTAAGAATATGATCCCTGATTCAGATTCTGGCTCAGCTGTATACTAGCTCTGTGACCTTAGCAAGCCAGTTAACATTCATTATTGAACCTCTTTTTCCTATTTCATGAAAAAGAATTCATGATGCATAATGAATTCATTCCTACCTCCTATGGGTGTTGTGAGAATTAAACGTGTAAATTACATAAGTGCTTAGAACAGTGCCAGGCATGTGGTAAGCATTCAATACATGTTAGCTATTCTTATCGTCAGGACTCTAAAAGTCTGATTCCAAACCAACCAGCTCTTCTAAGCTGCAGGCTCATATATCCTACGTGCCGATGGTGAGGATGTTGACCTGGATAGTTGTGGACCTCTCAAAACTCATCATGCCCCAAATCGAACTCGATTTGGACATAAGATAATACAAAGCGTTCAGCACAGTGAATGATCAAGAAGGATGCAATAAATTTAGCTGTTATCACTATAGATTTCAAAACTTCTTTCTCCTGTATTCTTTTTTTGTAGAATCTGCTTTATTACCCAGAGGATACAATGAAGGAAGCTTGGGGTCATCCTAAATTCCTGAATTTTCTCTATTTTGCAAGATCCAGCCAATAATCAAGTCTAGTCACTTTTTCCTCCTCGTAAGTATCTTCTGTACCTTCGGTTCCCACTGCCTCATCGTTTTTTGTTCTGGGTATTTGAATAGGCTTCTCGTGGTCTCCAGAATCCAAGGAATGCTCTCTTCAATCCATTCTCTTCAATAATACAGGAATGAATCCTTAAAATTCAAATTGAGCATGTCATTGGCTTACCCTGAAGTCCTTCATTCACACCCATCTGCTTCCAGGAAGTGCCCCTCAGTCCTGTCTTTCTGTGATGTATGAGACCACCTCCTGCTGGAGGCTTACCTCTCAGATGTACCAGTCGTTGTGGCCACAGTGGCCTTCTGGAATTTTCTGTACACTCTCATTCCTGAGAGTCTTGCTTATGCTCTTTTTCAGATCTGGAATGGTTTTTCCCATCTCTGTAAAGAAACATTTTCATCTGAAAAATTGGGAAACACCATGATTATTTGACACATTTAAAAAATGCCAAGTATATGAAATTAAATTAGGTAGAATGATTTTTGGGGGGATCTAAAGAATTGCCAATTAGTGAATACACAGAATGCCCAGAAGAGAAGTTTTACAAAAATTGTTAGGGTAGAAACTGTTATTACTAACAATTTTCTGTGTAGAAACTAGTATAATCTTTTGGATGCTAAGGAAGCTGTAATCTGGAATTACAAACCAAAGACAAAACCAAACTTCAGACATTGCTGGTGCTACCACCATGGAGAAGGAGAGAGATTCATACGTAATTGAAATGAATCAGTCTCTTTCTATGGCTTAGGTGTCTTAATGGGGCGAGGTGTCAGTTTTTACACTGCTTACTGGCATTGTTTCAAACTACAAGGGCCTCTGTGCACCACCTGACCTGGGAACTTATCTCCTGGTACCCGGAGAGGGACAGATGACTTGGATTTGATCCTAAATGGGACTATTAGAGAAAAATGGCAGTTAATACATCAACAGAAAAAAGATTAATTGTTTAGTAATCTGGAAAGGGATAACTATGCCAACAATTTCAAGGAAGAGAAGAAGCTTTTCAGTAAGTGGTTAAGATAAATATTTTGCACACTAAAATTCTGCAAGTCATTTTCCTTGGGTCAAGCTGACTGTCTTTTACACACAGCTTGTCAATGTAAAAACTTAGGTCATTTAAAATGCATTTCCTTTTAGAATCTTCTATCTCAAACAATCCTAAATTTAAAAATCAGCCTAAAACCTTCAAAACAGGCAGATGTTTGCTCTGCCTAGCAACAGTGGTCTTTGGTGATTTCTTATTTCTCTGTGATGCAGTTCAGATTCCCTAGCATGACATTCAGAGGCCCCAGATTTTTCCCATTCAGCAATTGCCCTCCATCATCCTATTTCCACAAGCATCACCTCTTCTAGTCAGACCACACTTGCTGGCCTCTAATGATATTTTGCTTTCTGTCACCTCCTCATCCTTGTGCATAGTCTTCTTTCTGCCTAGTAAGTTCTTCTTTCCCTGTATAAGTCTCTTTTATCCTTCAATATTCTCACACCAACTCCTAAAGACTGACTTCATAGCCTTGTTATATTTCTTTCCCTGACACTCCCATAATGCCAGGTCCACGCTTCCATTGTAATCACAATGATGATAACAAGTATTTCCTCCTAGGCTATGAGCTTCTTTTCCTTATCCCCAGTTTCTAACACAGGGCCTCAAACATAATACTGTCTATAGATAAAATGAATAAAGTGTCATAGTATTTGCTGGTTGACTTTTAGGCTGTTCATAGTAAGTGCTATCTATAGAATGAATGAGTAAAGCATCACAGTACTTGCTAGGTATTTGACATTTAGTTGAATGGCTCCTACTAAGAACTGTCTAAATATATGGCTGGCTTTTAAAATGGTCCAGTTATAATTGTCATAAATCTACAATATGTCTGACACATTGTTTTGTATCTGTCATGTGTAATTTGTGCTCAATATCAGGATTTGAGTAAACCTCCTCTCCTCCACCTTCCATCTAGCCCATGCCCTGTGGATAAAATGAACTGTGTGTGAACTCCAAATGTCACTTTTGCTTTGACATCTAAATTGGTATAATATTCATTTATTCATCATCCATCATTCACTCATACATATTTATCGGGCACTTTCTTTTAGAATTGGGCACCAATTCTAAAATCAATTGTGTTCTGATTATGCATTGTATTACATCTTCTTCTGTGATATTATATTATACTTATTTGTGAATGTTTTTGCTTTTGTCCCCCGGTACAGTTCCTGATATACAGGCATTCAATAAATATTAGGTGAATAATTAAATTGAACAATTCATAATCCAATGGCTAAATTTGGTTATCTATTCACTAGTTTAAATTCCAGATTTAATTATCAAACTCAATAGGTAGCTTAGATTTATTTTCCAATTCAAATTCTCTGTTCACACATTATCTGAGATGACAAGAGGCCATATAATTAGGTTGGTGGCTTTCAAATATGTTTTTAAAGCACCAGAACTTTATTTTCAGATGTAGTTAAAATACAGAAGATTGTATAGAAAAAGTAAAAAAAAAAAAAGACACAGTTCTATCACCCAAAAGCAATGTTTGAATTCCAGTGATGTGTATATTACCTGCAGATCTACAGTTGTGTAAAACACCAGGATGCACCATTTACATAGAATTCAATGAATTCACCGTTTACATAGAATTCAACATCTAGAGTTGTCCAACCTGGTATCCCTCATTACCTTACTACCTTTTATGTATGTACATCTATGTATATAGCTCAGTGAACATAGCATTCTGCTTTTCTAGTTTTTATCAGTATGTTCCGTATTATTAAAGTCATTATACTAGTTAACCTTTTATTTAATTTACCATCGTTCTGATAAAAAAATTTATACATGTAGCATTTGTAGAGCTCCCAGAGAGAGGAGTTCATGCTTTCTGTTAGTTTTGCGTGGCTCCCATTAGGAACCTGGCATATAGAAGTATTTCATGTGACATCATGACCTATCAAAACAGTCTTGGTTCCCATGAATAAAATCATATCCATCTCTCATAGTGGATCTCAGAATAGGGAGTGAAAAGGTATAAAAACAAAACCTTACAGAACTACCTGCCAACAACATTCATTACAAGTTACATTTCAGTTAATATAATTCTTCTAGAAAATAGAGTTAAGAGCCAAAGACATCTTTGACTAGTGATACTAAGAATTCATCAGAAGGAACCTTTTCAGCAGTAGCAAAAATATGCTAATGGTCTTTATTACTTTATTATTTATAATAAAAGGCTGATGTACCCTTTCTCTACATCTATCTATCTATCTGTCTATCTACCTATCTATCTATATAAAATGAAAAACTCTGCATAGACTTAACAAACTTGCACATTCTGCACATGTATCCCAGAACTTAAAGTATAATAAAAAAAATTAAAAATTGAAAAAAGAAAAATGAATGTAAAAAAGTGAAACCACCAAAAACAACAGAAAATTTTATGAGACGATTTAATAAATCTGTAGGTGATGAAAACTTTTGATACGTCAAAACAACAGAAATAATAACTAATGACAATGCTAGAATATTTAGGGCTATATAAAAAACAAAAACTTCTATAAACAGGAAACATCTTACAGTGGGACACTAAGGATTAACATCCCTTCTATATAAGAACAATTGTAACTCAATAGAAGAATTGGCAAAGGGCATGAAACAAGCAGAAATACAAATGACTAGTAGCCAGTTAGTAAGTGGCTATTAAGTGACTAACAGAAGTGGGACTCAAGGACTGCCACCTAAGCCAGGATTCCTAGATTCATCTGTCCTAATGTGACTTATCCAAGCAGAAAAAAAATTGAATATTTTTTCATCATTGCATATAATGTTATTATAACTATATGAAGTTATAATATATGAAATTTTTTAGATCAGTGCATATAATGTTATAACTGTATGAAAAATGTAAGTGGCTAATAGAAGTGACTTTAACAAATGGAAATCTCTACTCTATGCCTCTCTTTCTCTTTTTCCAGTGACTGTCTTAATAGTTTTGACAGTCATGCATAAACCCATTTGCCTTTAGCCCTATATCCAATATAAATTCGTTTGTCCCAGATCTTGGTGCAGATTTTCCTGTGCTTTGTGAGTCCTTCCCCATCTCTCCACCAGCATTGTATACAAGAATGCATACATAACTTTCCCTCCTTAGCCTGCTGCCTGCGCCATCTTTGGGGAGCCCAAGGTCCAGCTATTTGGGGCCAGCAGTCCTTCTAGTAGTCAATGTCACTTGTCCAACTTTCTGAGTAATCTCATCAGAGGACTGAAAGTAAGAAGGACTCATGGACTGCCTCCCAAGCCAGGATTCCTAGATTCCTCTATCCGAATATGACTGATACAAGCAGGAAAAAAAAATTGAAAAATATGATGCTTGTGATGTTATTATAACTATATGAAAAATATATTTTCATGAAGAAGAATATATACATAAAGGAAAACAGCCATGCCACAATGACAGAGTTATAAGTTATTTATATATAGTTTACTGTAAAACAATATTTTTTAAGTTGGATGCTTTTAACTTTTAATAGAAAGTTAAGAAACGTATTCACAGGTGTAGCATCACATAATAAACTTGAACTTCCAAGGGGTGGATGTAGCCTGCCCCTTTCTGAGGCTCACTAAGCCCCCTCTCCTGTTCATCTCTTCATCCTGAGCTTAAAAAAAACTCTCCTTGAAGGGCAAGGTAATGAGAGAGCTAGCCATTCTGGTCCAGTACATCTTAAGATATTTTAAGCCATAAAATCAAGTTATTCAAAATCTTTAAATAGTGCCAAGAGACATCAGGAGGAAACTAATGAACTATTGGTGAGAAATTTATTTTATTCTGTATTTTACTTTAGATGTCAGGTAAACAGTAAAAACAAGTATTTGGGGTAACTTGTGAATAAATGATTTTTTTTTGTTTGAAAAATTGACATAAGCTGCTGAGAGGTTTTTGCTTGTTAATTCCATGAGTAACCTTACAAAACTGTGCTTCACAAGTTGATGGATTCTCTATATTTTCTGATTGTTCAGTTCATGACTGAGAGAGGACATATATGCAATTCTTCTCCACACATTTATTTCTCCCAAAAGGGTTATTTCAAAGACATATGTCATAGTAATTCTTTGAACAATATGGTGATTATTTTGTTTCCCCTCAGAAAGACCCACCAAATATGCAATTTTGAAAATGTTAGTCTAGACCCTAGCCTGGGAAGAACTTGTACAAACCTCTTTCTCTTATGGAATCTGGGGTGAATCTACCCATCTGTTTCAGTAAAATTTTTTGAGAGGAACAGGATCTAGAAATATCCAGTTAATAAATTTTCTAACTTCTAAAATTAAAGGAACAGGTTTTTACTTCATTTAAATGGGTAGACACTCTCATTTAAAAAAAAAAAAAAACCTGATAGCATTATCTTTTCCCATGTGTAGAGAACAGTATATTTAAACTTTGTATTTGAACAGTCTTACCATTGTAAGGATGAAGATGTCTCTGGTGGTCATATTTTTACTCATTTTTAAGCCTTTATAGTGCATCTTGCCATTGATTGAATCATTGCTATAACAAGCTGTAAAGAGGTAACGGTGAAAATTTTGAGAGATCAGAAGGAAGAAAAGCCCACTTTTCAGTGAAAGAGCATTGCATCTATCTTGATTATTGGTCTCTTTGGGGCATTGTGATAGAAAACCATGAAAGCAATGCTGTTCTGTACTTACAGAGACCAGGTTTATAACCTGAATATTTCACCATTTGTTGTAAGATTTCATCTTTCCACAAACAGGTTTTAAATTTGAGCCATGACTAAGCAAACAGTTTTACAAACAATTTGCAGGTGAAACACGTTTTATGCCTTAGTTTCAAAAGAGCCCAAAAGCTCATTCTATGCAAACTGACAAGGGAAACTCAGAAGCAGTACCAAAACTGGGCATACTCACTTGGGCATTAATGGATGTTAAGTGCCTTACTATGTTCTGAACCACTCTCTCCCCAATAACAGTGAGTGGGGGGACCCTCCTGCATGATTGATGCTCTCCTCCTCCCAGTCTCTCTCCCACATACAAAGGAGGAGGCTTATGGGCTCACACAGTCCGCTTAAACCTCTCCTTTGCATATCCTAAGACTCAGTGTTCCATATGCTCCAAGCTTGTGCTTACTCCTTTTTTCGTTGATTTTCAGAAGTGGAAGTGACCAATATAGAGATTAATTTCCTTGCTGATAAAATGATAAAACCAAGTCTTTCTTCCCCCAACTCAACCAATACAGAAAACGGACATCAAAACCCATCTACCCCCTTTTCCTCCTTTTACAGTGGTGAAAGGAATTCTCCTCCAATCTCAGGTTTTTCCTTCCACATGAACTCTAAATCCTATTATCTTTCATCTCCTCACTGACCGCAATCCATCAGTCATTCCTCTTCTCTCCCTTAACTTTCTATTTTGATGTTATTTCAAACCTATAAAGCTGGTGCAGCCATAGTACAAGAAAATCCCATTTACCCAAATTCACCAATTATTTTCATTTTGCCTCATCTACTTTAGCACCCCCTCTCTCTCCATGAGGAATTATTTCAGATCCATTGGCAGAGACAGTTTAGCTCTTAACTCCTAAATACTTCAGGTTTCTTTTCTAAGAACAATGAAATTCTCCTCCATAACCATAGGGCAATGATCAAAATCACAAAGTTTAACATTGACATAACGCTATTACTTAATCCAGCGTTCATATTTAAATTCCATCAGTTTTCCTATTACTGTCCTTTATAGTTATTTTATTTATTAAAGAAAACATTTATTATAGGTTTAGGGATCATGTGAAGGTTTGTTATATAGGTAAAGTCATGCCACAGGGATTTGTTGTACAGATTATTTTATCACTCAGGCACTAAGCTGAATACCCAATAGTTACTTTTTTCTGCTCCTCTCTCTCCTCCTACCCTCCAGCCTCAAGTAGGCCAGAGTGCTTGTTTATGTCTCACTTTGTGTCTCACTTTGTGTCTATGAGTTATCATCATTTAGTTCACATTTATAAGTGAGAACATTAGGTATTTGGTTTTATCTTTCTATGTTAGTTTGCTAAGGATGATGGCCTCCAGCTCCATTCATGTCCCTGCAAAGGACATGATCTCATTCTTTTTTATGGCTGCATAGTATTCCATGGTGTATATGTACCACATTTTCTTTATCAAATTTGCCATTGATGAACATTTAAGTTGATTCCATGTCTTTGCTATTGTGAATAGTGCTGCAATGCATATACATATGCATGTGTCTTTATGATGAAATGATTTATATTCCTTTGGGTATATACCCAGTAATGGGATTGCTGGGTTGAATGGTAGTTCTGCTTTTAGCTCTTTGAGGAATTACCACACCTTTATAGTTATTTCCTTTTCTTGCTGTAGGATCCAGTCTGGGAGGACTCTTGCATTTAATTGTCATATAGCTTTAGTTTCCTTAATCTGAAATAGTTCCTCAATGGTTCTTCACCTTTTCTTTTGTGTTTCTTGACTTTAACAATTTTATAGAGTAAATACCAATTAATTTTTAGAATGTCCTTTAATTTGGGTTTGTCTGTGGCTTCTTCATGATCTGAATTTAAGTTTTTCATTTTTGGCAGGGATATCACCAGTATAATTTTGCATCTCTTTCAGTATATTTTACAGAAGATACTTGATACTGGTTTGCTCCAGTCCAATATTGGTAATATTCACTTGGTTAAAGTGATGTCTGCCATATTACTATACTGTAAAGTTATTATTTTTCCCATTGTAATTAATAAGGTATTGTTGGGGGATAATTTGAGACTATATTAATATTCTGTTCTTCATTAATCTTTCACTCACTACCTTCCAACTCTACCATTCCTTCCACATTTATTAGTTGACATTTTACTAGAAGGAAGAGCTTTCCCTTCTCCTCCTCTATTGAGTGAATGAATGAATGACATTACCATAGACTCATGGGTTTTACTTTTTTAAAAAATGGATTATCTAGTTCTATGATAATTAATTTTAGTTGTCAAATTTCTTAAGTTTTGGCCATTGAGTCTCTCCCCTATATCCTTTTACCTCTCTCTGCTGGCTGCTTCCCGCAGCATTTAAACACTTCTCTCTCCTTTCTAGACGTAACTCTCTATGTATTGCCATATCTCTCAGTTTCCTTCACAGCTCTATTTCTTGAAAGAGTTATCTATACTTGTGCTTTCCTCTTTCTCCTTTCCCATTCACACTTCACCCTACTTATGTCTGTTTTACAGCTATATTGCTCCACCAAAACTGACCCAAATCACCAAAACCAAAACTGATCAAAACCATGAAAAAAAATGACCACTCAGTCACTAGTTGAGTAGATATAGAAACATTCTTTTTGATAACAACTTCTCCCACCTCTCTCTGTTTTAATATTTACATTATCAAATAAAAACAGGCTGGGCATAGTGACACAAACCTGTAGTCCCAGTTACTGGGGAGCCTGAGGCTGGAGGATCCCTTGAGCCCAGGAGTTAGAGGGTGCAGTGACCTATGGTCATGCCACTGCCTTCTGGCCTGGGTGACAGAGCAAGACCTTGTCTCTACAAAAATAAAATAAAATAAAAACAGATACAGAAAATCGCAGAGAATAAGCGTATAACAGTGATTATTACAAATTAGACATCCTGGTAAACATCACTCAGGCCAAGAAATAGAACTATGCCTGCCACCCCAGAAGATTTTTCTTCCACAAGTAGCCACTAACCTGACATTCTTTGTTTTTGTCCCACATATTTCTAAGCATCCATCTTGACGTTTCTGTAAGGTTTTGTCACTCATGTATGTATCCCTAGATACTATAGCTTAGTCTTGCCCACTAAAAAAAAAAAATCAATATATCGTTTAGGTCTCTTTTCATCTTCAGACTATTCATCGCTTTCATCTTTTCCACGCCTTTCTATCCTTAACAATTTCACTGTGGAAGAACTGGGGCCCCTTTATTATAGAGTTTTCTCACAATGTGAATTTTGCTAATTGCATATTCCTGGTGCAGTTTAGCATGTTACTCTGTCCTCCTTATTTCCTGCAAATTGCCAGCTGGGCCTAAAACACTTGGTCAGACTTGGGTGTGATTTCTTTGGCAAGACCATAGGTGGTGGTGTGTTCTTTCATCAGGATGCATATTATGTCTGGTTGTTTATCTTTTTGTACTATTAACAGCCATTGATTCTCAACACCTATATCCATTAGATCACTGGGGTCTGCAACATGGTTATATTCTAATCTGTCATTTCTTTTTATTTATTAGTTTGAAACGTTTTTAAAAGAGACACTTTTGCCCATCTGTTTGGTTAGTGGAGGAAAAGCTGGATAAATCCTTGATTCATTTCTTTATAAGTTTTCAAGGTAATGACTTAGTTCTCTGTTGTCTTCTGAAGATAATCAACTGCTTGAAAAAATATTATTATGAACCCATGAATTTAAACATATTTAGTTTCAATATGTTATAAATCTTATATTTATTGAATATCAAGTTGCTCCACCTCTGACTAGTTTGAGCCTTCTTAGGTTAGATCCTGAGTCTTTTTAACATGGCTAGTGGTCTTTAATTTCTTTCTTGCTATCTGGTAGACCAAGATATTCCAGGAACATCTTGTATATTTCCTGCTCCATACCTGAAGCCCAGCATTTTCCCAACAAGCTCTGGATTTTTATTTCTTACTTTTTTTAGAGAAAGGGTCTCCCTCTGTTACCCAGGCTGGAGTGCAATTATGTGAGCATAGCTCACTGCAGCCTCAACTTCTTGGGTTCAATTAATCCTCCCACCTCAGCCTCCCGAGTAGCTGGTACTACAAGTGTGTGCTACCATGCCTGGCTAATTTTTTTTTTTTTAATTTTAGTAGAGATGGGGGTCTTGCTATGCTGTCCAAAATGGTCTTGAACTCCTGAGCTCAAGTCATCTTCCCATCTCAGCCTTCCAAAGTGCTGGGATTACAAGCAAGAGCCACCATGCCTGGGCTGGTTTCTTTTCTTTTCTTTTCTTTTCTTTCTTTCTTTCTTTTTTTTTTTTTTTTTTTTTTTTTTTTTGACAGAATCTAGCTCTGTCGCCCAGGCTGGAGTACAGTGGCCCGATCTCAGCTCACTGCAACCTCCACCTCCCAGGTTAAAGCAATTCTCCTGTCTCAGCCTCCTGAGTTGCTGCGACTACAGGAACATACCACAATGCCAGGCTAATTTTTTTGTATTTTTAGTAGAGATGGGGTTTTACCATATTGGTCAGGCTGGTCTCAAACTCCTGACTTCAGGTGATCTGCCCGCCTCGGCCTCCCAACGTGTGGGATTACAGGTGTGAGCCACTGCGCTGAGCCAGTCTGGTTTCTCTTTAATGGGAACTAATATTTCGAGTGCTAATATAACCTAGTACTATAGATGCTCTGTGTTACTGGGTTGGTCACTGTTTTCAGGCCTTTTTTTTGAGATGGAGTCTTGCTCTGTCGCCCAGGCTGGAGTGCAGTGGCGCAATCTCGGCTCACTGCAACCTCTGCCTTCTGGTTTCAAGTGATTCTCCTGCCTCAGCCTCCCAGGTAGCTGAGATTACAGACATGCACCACCATGCCCCGCTAATTTTTATATTTTTAGTAGAGATGGGGTTTCACCATTTGGCCAGGCTGGTCTCAAACTCCTGACCTAAAGTGACCCGCCTGCCTCAGCCTCCCAAAGTGCTGGGATTACAGGCATCAGGCCTATATTGATGAAAGGAATTATATATATATAGTATTAAGTATATACATAGATGTGTATATATAGGTGAGTTTAAATATGTATATATATGGGTGTGTGTGTGTATATATATATACACACACCTCAATGCTTTATCCAAGTGATTCTCAATTAGGACTGAGTTTCCTCCTAAGGGGATGTTTAGCAATTTTTAGATACTGTATTAGTCCCTTTATATAAATATATCCCTTTAGTCCCATATATATATATATATTTATATATATATATGCCTTTATATATAAAGATATATATATGCCTTTATATATATATATAGATATATAGATACATAGATATAAAGCTGATTTTATTAAGTATTAATTTACACAATCACAAGGTCCCAGAATAGGCTGTCTGCAAGCTGAGGAGCAACGAAAGCCAGTCCGAGTCCCAAAACTTGGAGTCTGATGTTCGAGGGCAGGAAGCATCCAGCACGGGAGAAAGATGTAGGCTGGGAGGCTGGACCCATCTCATCATTTCACATTTTTCTGCCTGCTTTATATTCACTGGTGGCTGATTAGATGGTGCCCACCTGCTTAAGGGTGGGCCTGCCTTCCCCAGCCCACTGACTCAAACGTTGATCTCCTTTGGCAACCCCCTCACAGACACACCCAGGATCAATACTGCATTCTTCAATCAAGTTGCACTCAGTGTTAACCATCACAGACACATTTGAGGTTGTCACAACTGTGTGGAGGTGATGTTACTGGTGTCTAGGAGGTAGGGGCCAGGGTTGCCACTAGACATCCTAAATGCACAGGACAACCTCCCACCACAAAATGTTAATCATGGTTGGTGGGATATATGCCTGTAGTCCTAGCTACTCGGGAGGCTGAAGTGGGAGGATTGCTTGAGCTCAGGTCTAGGCTGCAGTGAACTATGGTCCATCACACTCCTGCATTCCAGCCTGAGTGACAGAGGGGGACCCTGTCTCTGAAAAAAAAAAGTCATGCCAAGATAGAGAACCCCTACTATCCCATAGTATACACATATAATAGTCTCAGAGTAATAATATTGATGCTACAACCATTAGTGAGTGATGTTTACCAGGATGTCTAATTTATAATTATAATTACCAGGATGTCTAATTTATAATTATCACCAAAGCAGTTTAAAGATGTTTTAATAGGCCAATCTGCCCATCCCCATCCCATAATGACTGTATCATGTCTACATTTTCAAATCATACTGCTATTACATACTAAACACCCTCTCTCTTTTAACTCCATTTTGGTTCTACAAGTTGCTGTATATTTCGTGCTGTATATTTCACTCGTCCTTATGTCAATGTCTCTGCAGTCATCTTTGTTCTTCAAAGCTTGCTTTCTATTATTTTGGAAGAAATCATAAGAGCACTGTTTCCTTAGTCCTTTGCTAGTGATCACAGTTTTTCTGTGCCCTTTGTCCTTGATGGTCTGTTTTGCTAGATATAAAATCTCTCGTTCACAGTCATTTTATCTGAAAATCTAAAGTATTTTATTCCTTATTTATCTGGTAAAATGCATTGCTGCCAACAAATCTTATGATAACTTGATTTCATTTCTTTTATAAATTCCTTTAAATTTCAACAATTTTACTAGATTACCTCTTAATATTGGTTGTTTTGGGTTAATATCCTCAGGTGGATTTGTGCTCTTTTAATACGTAACCTCAAATCTTTCTAAAAAAATGTTAGAACCATCCTCTGAAATTGTAGTTTTGAGTATTTGTTTGGCTTTTTTGCTTTTGGTTTTATTACTCTTCTTTGGAACTGTCTGTTTGTTGGATCATCTTTGCATATCTCCAACATTTGTCACTTTCTCCTGAGTCCCTTTTGAATGTCTTTGTTTCCTTTTGAATGTAAAAAATATTTGAATTTTTTATTCTATTAAGGGATTATTTGGTGTGTTATTCCTCTTGTGTTCCTTCTGGTTTGGTCCTCATTTCTAAAATGACTTTCTTCTTTTGTTTCTAACTCTTCTTGAGTTCTATTATCCCATGTAAGTTTTTCTAATTCTGATATATGTTGATCTTTTGTGTCTTGTGTCATTTTCTTAATGTCTTTTAGGTCGTTTCACGTATGTAATCATTTTCATTTATTTACTTTTTAATCATTTTGAGATGAAGGCTCACTCTGTTGCCCAGGCTGGAGTGCAAGTGCATGATCTCCTCTCACTGTAGCCTCTGCCTCCCAGATTCAAGTGATCCTCCCACTTCAGTCTCCTAAGTAGGTGGGAATACAAGCATGTGTCACCGTGCCTGGCTAATTTTTGTATTTTTAGTAGAGATGGGGTTTCACCATGTTGGCCAGGCTGGTCTTGAACTCCTGACCTCAAGTGATCCACCCTCCTCGGCTCCCAAAGTGGTGGGATTGCAGACGTGAGCCACCGCGCCTGGCCCTTTTTGATTTATTTTTGGAACATATCTTTTGGCATGTTTTTACTCTCTACAGGATACTACTCTGCTTATTATTCTCTTTTGTCTTATAGAAACATTGTAAGAAATTTGAACTTGATAATTCTCTGTTGCTCATTTTTGTGAAAAATTTACTTTTTCTGAACTTTTAGAAAGAGTCATTGTTCTGGTAACTTTTCTAATGTTATAAAGCACCTTTGGTTATTCTCATACAATGTTAAACATTTTTGGTGGCATGATTTAAAATATTTCTTGTCTCTATTCCTTTCTCCTAATTTGAGCTATACCTTTCTTTCCTATGCTCAATTTTGATTTCATTTGTCCAGTGTGGAGGCCTTTCCTATGAGGAGCTCTGAAGCTTCAGCTTCAGGAGTTCAGATGGGTTAAGCCACTCCAGCCTCTTGAGACCTTCCTACTGTGGGCTTCACTCTTTTAGAAATGAAGAGCATTAGAGTGAGGAAACCCCTGTTAGTTTCAGCTGCTGTTCTCCAATTGCCCCACAGTACCTTCCAGTGAATTCCTTGGGCTAAATTGGGGTTCTGTTCTCAGGTGTGTCAAGGACCTTGTTGCTCCCATCTGCCTTCTCCCACACAGAAGCTGAAACCATGTGGCGTTTGTGACCGTTGATGGCTTGTTGTCACCCCCATTGGGTTTTGGGGGGTCTTCAGGGTATCTTGTGATTGAATCTCATTCTCTATACGTTTTGTTTTGCGATTTCATTTCTCTCTCTCCCTTTATGTGGGAAATTTGGGAAGATCCAAATACTGTTCCACTGTGTGCCCTGCCACTGTCTGCTAGGCATTCTTGAAACATTCTATTACCTTAATTTTTATTTCAGCAATTTCTCCTAGTCTTTCTTCTTCTTCTCTTACCACCCCCTTTCAGTTTTCTTTCCAGGTTCTTCCTTCTGCCAGTCTCCTAAATGTTGGGGTTCCCTGTAGCCCTTTTGTTTTTCTAACTCTGCAATTTCTCTGTGGTCTCTCTGGGAGTTTGGATATAATCCACAGATTTCATTGCCACCTAGATTGTGATAACTCCAAAAACCTGTATTTACAGGGATGACTTGTAAATACCGATCGTTCTGCCTTCTGAGCCTCAGATATATACACATATATGTGTACATGTATATATATGTGTGTGTGTATGTATATGTATATACACATATATATACACATATACACACAGATATATATACTCTGTGTATATATATCTGTATACATGTGCATATATATACATATTTATGTATTGTATGTATGTATCTATATATGTGTGTGTGTGTGTGTGTGTGTGTGTGTGTGTATATATATCACAATTGCCTATGGGATTGTCTTATTTGGACTTCTTTTAGGCCCCTCAAACTCGACATATTCAGAACTGAATTAATCATCTCACCCCAAAATCTCCTTCTCTTTTTTCCCCTATGTCAGTAACAAGCACCGTATGCATCCATTTACGCAAGCCATACATCGCTTGCTTTTTCTTTCTCATCCTAACCCAATTAATTCTTATCCTTACCTTCTAAGTAGTTTCCAAATTTGTCACTTTGTCTCTGTTCCATCCTGGAATACCACAATATTTTCCCAGTTGACATCCTGGGTTCCAAAACTGCCTCTAGCAACATGCATTGAAGTTGCGATGGGTAATATGGAAGCATTTCCTCCTGTTTCCCTGCTTTCTCCCTCTTACTCTTGCCCTCTGGAACCCAGGACAAGACAGGGTTGAAAGAAGTGCAATAAGCAGGTGGAGCTGGGGTCCTGTGGGATGGTGTCACCCGCACGCCACATCTAGGTTGAGTTAGGCAAATCAGCCTAACTCAAAAAATCTCAGTCTGGATGTGGTGCCTCACGCCTGTCATCCCAGCACTTTGGGAGGATGAGGTGGGAGGATCACTTGAAGCCAGAAGTTGAGACCAGCCTGGACAACAGAGCAAGACACCATTTCTACAAAAAAAAAAAAAAAAAAAAAAAAAAAAAAAAAAATATATATATATATATATATATATATATGAATGAATAAATAAAGAAATTAGCTGGACATGACCGTGCACTCCTGTAGTCCTAGCAACTTGGGAGGCCGAAGCAGGAAGATTGCCAGAGCCTGGTAAGTTGAGGCTGCAGTCAGCTGTGATGTGTCACTGCACTCTAGCTTGGGTAACAGAGGAGACCCTCTCTCAAAAAAAGAAAAGAAAAGAAAAGAAAAACATTCTGTGCCCAGAAGCTGTGGAGGAGAAAATAACATAAATCACCTCTGTTATATAATGGCCTAGTTGCTTCTTATGACATAGAATTAAATCTGTTCAAGTCTTAAACTCATGACTAATAGAAATAAAGCAGTGGCAGTTTACTTGAGGAGCTGGTTGACATTTGGGGAACAAGAGTTTTGAGCAAGATAAGATAGTAGTATATTTACCATTACTGACTTTTATCTGATCACTTTCAGTGATTGGAATTTACCTTTTTTTCTGCCAGTAATCTCTGCCTTTAAATTTTTTTTAAAACATAGTATTACAATGAGTTAACGATTATCCATCATTTATTTATTAACCAGGTTTATGTCATTTGACTATCATGTGTCTCATGTGTTTCTTTCCAACTCCTTTTTATGGAGACTGGCTCTCACAATGTTGCCCAAGCTATTCTTAAACTCCTGGGCTCAAGCGATCCAATCCCCTGCCTCAGCCTCCCAAATAGCTGGGATTACAGGCCAGCAGAACCGAAACTGACTGTTTCCTTCCAACTCTTGCACTTTCTCCATGCCTGCCCTTCCACGCACAACTTTCTTGTCTTTTGCTCCCTCTTCCTGTCCTTGTTTTCATCCCAGCTGGCTGTCCCTTTCTTCTTCTCATCTCCAGTCCCTTCCCAATCCCAGTTTTTATTCTCTCCTTCGCTGGTGTTCCATTAAAGCCATCCTTATTGGCTTGTCTGTGGAAGTTGTATTTGTCACTTGACTACTGTCTGGTCGGTTTTCACTCTCATGTTTTCACTCCATTTCTGGGTGCATTTTTCTTTAATTAATTAATTAATTAATTAATTTTTGAGATGGAGTCTCGCTCTGTCGCCCAGGCTGGAGTGCAGTGGTGCAATCTTGGCTCACTGCAACCTCCGCCTCCCAGGTTCAAGCAATTCTCCTGCCTCAGCCTCCTGAGTAGCTGGGATTACAGGCACACACCACCAGGGCTGGCTAATTTTTACATTTTTGGTAGTGACAGGGTCTCACCATATTGGCCAGACTGGTCTCAAACTCCTGGCCTCAGGTGATCTGCCCGCCTCGGCCTCCCAAAATGCTGGGATTACAGGTGTGAGCCACTGCGCCCATCCTCTGGGTGCATTTTCTATGGCGGCTGCATTGTTCTGACTATGGTGGCTGCATTGCTTCCTCAATGGATACTCACATGAAGGCCTCATTATGCCAGACCCTCACTCTTTAGCATATTCCTCCTGCCCTCTAATGCTTGTATGCCAGGTAAGGAAAATGGTCTTCAAAGTAGGGCTGCATTTCCAATTTTGCAAAGGAATAAAAAATTATACTCATCCTCTTAAATGTGTATAGAATTATATTCCATTAGAATTTCCTTATTGGACTTTCTTTTCAACAGTGTGTTTCTAGCCTTTCTTAAGCCAGTTCTGGTCCCTCGGAGGTATACCAGAATTCACTGTTGAGCAGAACTGTCCCCCTTTCCTAAACTGGACTCTGGGGCCCAGGAATCTGTGACTGCTGGTATGGTGGGTTGAAACTAACTGTGTACACATAGCAACTCAACCTGGGCTGCCGGTTGTTGGAAGACAGCTGGGGTTTGGTGTGTAATGGGTGTTTGTGTGTTGGAGGAAAACAATCACAGTTTAGTCTCTGCATTCAACACATCTGTTGGTGGCAGGATTGGCTCTGCTGATCGCCTGGTGAGGAGTCTCTCCACAGCATGAGCTTGTTGTGCCAGGAGCTCCTGCTGGGCACCTTGCTGCTCTTTGCTGCTCCAGCAAAGAAAACCAGAGGGATTGGCATTTCTTCTTAAACACGCAAGGACCTGAGCCAAGTGAAGGAAAAAAGACATCAACAAATTTCAAAGCATCCTCTCTTGGTGTACAAGGTCTGTTAGTTTTATAGGCAACATTTTCAGTATTTCTTAATCAGGTAACACATCATGGCCATCCAAGGTTACCACTTGCCCAGTCTGAGATCTCTGCAGTGATGGGGTGTAGGCTACTGAGAAGTCAATGAATCCCTGTCAATTCCTGACAGATGAGAAGGGTGAGCCTACAAACCAAATGGAGATGTGGAGACTGAATTCCTGAAATAAGAGGGTGTGCTGAGCATGGAGAAGGTAACTTTAGAGATGGAAGCTAAGGACTTTGAGAAACTGTCCAGGCTTCCAGTAGAGAACAGCCTTCCCCCTCCCATTGTGCCTCATACTGGTTCATTTCCAGCCTCCAGGGAGCAAACAAGCAGGGTCTATGATAGACAGTATAATGGAGTCCCCAGAATTCACATCCAGGCAGCCCAGCATTCAGAGTAGTGAGAGAGAAGAAACTGTTCTGCTTAAGTCAGAGTGGACTTTTAATCCCACCTAGATCTTCATGTAGGCTGTCAAACTAGGCTGAGTACAGAGGCTCATACCTGTAATCCCAGCAAAAGTGAGGTTGAAGTAGGAGGATCACTTGAGGCTAGGAGTTCAAGACCAGGACCAGCCTGGGCAACATAGTGAGACCTCATCTCTACAAAAAATAAAAAATAAAATATAGCCATGGTACACACTATAGTCCTAGCTACTCAGGAGGTTGAGGAGGGAGAACCACTTGAGTCCAGGATATTAAGGCTGCAGTGAGCCATGATTATGCCACTGCACTCCAGCATGAGTGACAGAGTGAGACCCTGTATCAAGGAAGGAAGGAAGGAAGGAAGGAAGGAAGGGAGGGAGGGAGGGAGGGAGGGAGGAAGGGACGGAGGGAGGGAGGGATGGAGGGAGGGAGGAAGGAAGGAAAAGGAGGAAAGAAATAAAGAATCTCAGCCTTGTTTTCGGGGCTTTAAAGTCCTGCATTTCAAAGTATATTAGTCTGTTTTCATGCTGCTAATGAAGACATACCTGAGACTGGGCAATTTACAAAAGAAAGAGGTTTAATTGGACTTACACTTCCATGTGGCTGGGGAAGCCTCACGATTGTGGTGGAAGGCGAGGAGGAGCAAGTCACATCTTATGCGGATGGCAGCAGGCAAGAAAAGAGAGCGTGTGCAGGGAAACTCCCGTTTTTAAAACCATCAGATCTCGTGAGACTTATTCACTATCATGAGAACAGCATGGGAATGACCCCCCCCCACCATGATTCAATCACCTCCCACCAGTTTTCTCCCATGGCACATGGGAATTGTGGGAGTTAAAATTCAAGGTGAGATTTGGCTGGGGACACAGCCAAACCATATTGCAAGGTCAATGAAATATAGTCCTAGTGACCCAAAAGTATTTCAAATCTGGCAATGAAAAACAAAAAACTATCAGTCCCCTAGGACTGGTTTCTTCAGGCTAACATCTAAAATTCAATCTGTCTTTTTCAATATTGAAAGAGATCTCAATGTTCATTATAAACGCTTATCAGACAAAGCTGGAAGAAAACAGAGAAAATGACTTTTACTATTGGACATCAGTTGGTGTGAGAGCACCTGTAAATATGTCTCAAAACAGGACCATGGAGACAATGACAGCAATGTGAGGCCAGGACAGGGCAAAGTTAGTCTGAGGACATGAGAAGGCAGCAGAAATGGCACAGGCTAGGATATGACTCAAAAAGCCTTTTTATATGGCTGGTCTTTTCTTTAATTGCCTCTTTGCCTGGTTTTCATGGCAAAGTGTGTCTGTGGGAAATGCCTTAGCAGAGAACCAAGGCCTAATAATTCAGCTTGACAGCAATGCTGACTGGAAAAAACTGCAAATGCACACATGGCTTGTCTATCTATTTTAATCATCTTTACTAGACAGTTGCCTAACCATCCACATCTATTCGCCAGTTTGATCCATCTTAAGAGCACCTGCTACGGGCCATGTCCCATTATCTGAGTGATGGCCAGAGGTCTAGGGTTAATGGATGGCTCTGAACGTTGTGATCAGGTGCTGCTACGGGTGATTTGCACACATGGCAGTTTAAACTTTGCAGAGCTGATTCGTATGAATTCCCAATCATCTTCCACCATCCATTTGCCCTCCATCCCTCACCAACTAAGCTTCTCAAAAGAATTGACTTCACGTGGCTTCTTACTTCCTCACTTCACATAGACTACTCAGCACCCTAGGGTTTGGCTTTAGCCCCCACCACATGGACTTGTTGCCGTATTTACCAGATGCTCCTCCGTTCTTATCAGATCTGACATGACAGTTCACTTCCTCACTTGACATCTCAGCTTTTTTGGTTCTCCTCATACATCTCTGAGCATTTTAGCTCCATGTCCTGTGTGGCCCCTTTATTTGCCCCATTGCCATTGGTATCCCTGTGTTAGCTTCAGCCCAGTTGTTTTTCTCTCATCAGATAATCTCTGTACCCATATGCCCATTCTCATGTGCTCAACCACATTCTACATACTGATGAGTCCCACATCTGCCCAGCACAGAATTCTCTCCTGAAATTCAGATTGTTTACCTAATTCCTGATAAAGCTAACGATTCAATCTCCATCTAGGCACTAGCTCCACTTTAGCTAAACTCAACCGATCCACGCTGATGGCATCATCTTTGGCTCTGTATTTACTCTAGCTTGATTCTATATCCAGTCAACAAACTGTGAAAGCATCTGTGAATGCTTACTGCCATCCTTCTTACTCTCTCACAAAAATATATCCCCCAAAGCCATCAATTTTTAGTTTATAATTATCTCTATAATTATTTCTTCAAGCCATCACTGCCTCTTTCACCTTACGCTATCCTAGAACAGATACTCTCTAGTGGGGAATATTGTACCAGCCCCTGCTTATTTTACCATCCTTTGATCTTTTTCCCATCACATTCATTTTTCACAAAGCAAATTGTGAAAAATGCCTTAAAATCCTTCATTGGCTTTCCAGGACCGGCAGAATAAACCCCAAGTTCTTTGACATGGTGTATATATATCTGACTCTGACCTGGCCTCTGCCTTCCCTCAAATTTTATCTTTTGTATTTTATACTCTAACAACACTGAACACTGAACATCGACCATTGTTTACTTCCCTGCCTTTGATCATGCCATGCCTCTACTGGGAAGGTCTCTTCCACCATTTTTATTTTTTACTTTTTTGATTTTGATTTTTGATTTATTTTTATTTTTTTCTATGCATTTTGATTTTTTTTCTATGCACTTTTTTTTTTTTGAGATGAAGTCTTGCTCTGCCGCCCAGGCTGGAGTGCAGTGACACAATCTCAGTTCAGTACAACCTCCACCTCCCCAGTGCAAGTGATTCTTCTGCCTCAGCCTCCCAAGTAGCTGGGACTACAGGTGCATGCCACCACGCCCGGCTAATTTTTCTATTTTTAGTAGAGACTGGGTTTCACCATGTTGGCCAGGCTGGTCTCGAACTCCTGACCTTGTGATCCGCTCCCCTCAGCCTCTCAAAGTGCTGGGATTATAGGCTTGAGCCACCATGCCCAACCTTTTCTATGCATCTTTTAAAAATGACTTCAAGTTCTACCTCTTTAGGAAGTCTTTGCAGTTCCATCCTCCCCACTCCCCAAACCCACTCTGGTGGATTATGGGATCTCCTGTAATCCCGTAATTTGCACATTTCTCCTTGCTTGAACTTACAATAACGCGTTGCAATGTTAATGCCTCTCTCTCCCACTAGGCTTTGAATTCCCTGAAGTCAAAGTCTGATCCCTTCATCATTGTGTGTTCAAATCCAAGCACAATTCTTGACCAAGTGAGCACTCAACTAGTGATCGTTGAATGACTGACTGAGTCTGTGAACAGGTCTGGTTCTTAGTTTCCTTTGGTAAATTAAAGTATAGGAAGGGGTAAAGAATGGGATTACTATAAAAGGAGTACACATCATTTGTAATTGTTACACCTAATTTTAAATGCAATTACTTTAAGAGAAACACTAATGGATGTGGAATTAAAAAGAAAAGAAGAGATTGCATGCAGTAGGGGATGAGAAATGAGCAGGAGAGGGGTCAGAAAATACACTGAGGAGGGCCTGGAATTTAAATGGGAGGTTGAGGAACACAGCAAGAGGTCTGGCTAGTAAAAATGGGCTCTGGAGCCCCATCTAATTAGGGCCCTTTTTGATGTGTAGCAAAAGAAACAGCAGTAACAAATATACTGGGGGAAAAAAGCTAACTCCTTTTCCCATTCCAGCGGGGCTGGTGTATCAGCCGATGAAGTACAAGGTTCTTATTTAGGGTGGCACTTGGGAGAGAGAATCCCCACGAGGAGAAAGAGAAAAGTGGTAGGGAAGTACCTAGGAGGAGATTCACACTCTTGGCTGGCAAGGTGCCCTCTCCCTTTGATTGCTAGAAAGGAAGGAAGGAAGTTCACTCAGTTTAAGCCATGAGCCAGCCCGCCTTGCTCTCTGGGGAGATGGTCAGTGCTCTGCTACCTAGGACTCAGCAGGGAGCTGCCACTCATCAAAAACACAAATTAGTTTCTCTTCTGACCCACCTGTGCAGTCCTTTTAGGGTCCAAGGACTCAGAGGCAACCAGCGCCTTTGGCTCATTTGTCAAAGGAGGGTAAATTTTTGAAAAGCAGAAGTCACTGGAGAGAAAAGGAGATTTTATCCCAGGCAAGAGGAGCAGGAATATCAGGAACCTGAAAGTGGAAAAGTGTAGGGTACAAGTTATCTAACCTGTAGAGTACAGTAAAATTGGGAGTTACAATTGAAAAGCTATATTAAGTGAAATGGTATATTTGAGTTCTAGGATTTTCCTTTTGTGCTATGTGAATATGTATATATGCATCTATTCTGCAGACTTGTCTGTGAATTTCCAGAGACCACAGTGGTAGATAAATCGGTGGCTGGACAGGGAGCCAGCATGAGAATCACTGCTACAATCGCACTGCAGTTGTCAGGAGAAGACACTGCAGATGTCACCACTAAACAGTCGATGCCACAAGTTGGGCCACCACTGCCCAGCCCTGGCTTTCATGCACGTCCATGTGAAGAGACCACCAAACAGGCTTTGTGTGAGGAACATGGCTGTTTATTTCACCTGGGTGCAGGCGGGCTGAGTCCAAAAAGAGAGTCAGTGAAGGGAGATAAGGGTGGGGCCGTTTTATAGGATTTGGGTAGATAAAGGAAAATTACAGTCAAAGGGGGGTTGTTCTCTGTCGGGCAGAGTGGGGTCAAAAGGTGCTCAGTAGGGGAGCTTTTGAGCCGGGGTGAGCCAGGAGAAGGAAATTCACAAGACAATGTCATCAGTTAAGGCAGGAACCAGCCATCTGGATGTGTACATGCAGGTCACAGGGGATACGATGGCTTAGCTTGGGCTCAGAGGCCTGACATTCCTGTCTTCTTATATTAATAAGAAAAATACAATGAAATAGTGGTAATGTGTTGGGACGGTGAAAATTTTTTGGCGTGGTATGGAGAGATAATGGGCGATGTTTCTCAGGGCTGCTTCCAGCGGGATTAGGGGCGGCATGGGAACCTAGAGTGGGAGAGATTAAGCTGAAGGAAGATTTTGTGGTAAGGGGTGATATTGTGGGGTTGTTAGAAGAAACATTTGTCATGTAGAATTATTGGTGATGGCCTGGATACGGTTTTATATGAATTGAAAAACTAAATGGAATAAGAGAAGGAGAAAAACAGATATAAAAGGTCTAAGAATTGGGATGACCTAGGACATCTAATTAGAGAGTGCCTAAGGAGATTCAGCATAGTCCTGCCAGCAAAGATTATTTATTTACTTCAAGAGTTAAGAGTGGCAGTTTGGGGATAGCACCAGGAGATATCAGCTGTGATGGCTTGGAGAAACAGTGTAAACCCGCAGTGTAAACAAGAGCAGGGCATGTATGAGTAGTTGAGAACGGTGAATAGGAGTATGACTAGACAGAAGATAGTAGGGATGACAAGTTTTTTGGGGCACAGTCTAAGTTGGTCTGGTGTCTGGAATGAGACTGGGGCCTAATAAAAAGGAGCATCTATATAGGAGCTCAAATGGGCCGTACCTTGTAGCATTCCGAGGACAGGCCTGAATTCTGAGAAGGGAAAGTGGTAAAAGTATTGTCCAGGCCTTTTTAAGTTGGTGGCTGAGCTTGGTGAGGTGTGTTTTTAAAAGACCTTTAGTCCGTTCTACTTTTCCTGAAGACGGAGGACCGTAAGGGATATAAAGGTTTCACTGAATACTAAGAGCCTGAAAAACTGCTTGGCTGATTTGACTAATAAAGGCTGGTCTGTTATCAGACTGTATAGAGGTGGGAAGGCTAAACTGAGGAATTATGTCTGACAGAAGGGAAGAAATGACTGCGGTGGCCTTCTCAGACCCTGTAGGAAAGGCCTCTACCTATCTAGTGAAAGTGTCTACCTAGACTAAGAGGTATTTTAGTTATCTGACTCGGGGCATGTTGAGTAAAGCTAATTTGCCAGTCCTGGGTGGGGGCAAATCCTTGAGCTTGATGTGTAGGGAAGGGAGGGGGCCTGAATAATCCCTGAGGAGTAGTAGAATAGCAGATGGAACACTGAGAAGTTATTTCCTTGAGGATAGATTTCCATGATGGAAAGGAAATGAGAGGTTCTAAGAGACGGGCTAGTGGCTTGTACTATAGCATAGCCTGCCTTTGCTGGTGTGTGGCGATTAGGCCTGGTGGAACCGCCATCAATAAATCAAGCGTGATCAGGGTGAGGAACGGGAAAGAAGGAAATATGGGGAAATGGGGTGAGTGTCAGGTGGATCAGAGAGATACAGTCATGGGAGTCAGGTGTGGTATCAGGGATAATGTGGGAGGCCGGATTGAAGTCCAGGCCAGGAACAATGGTAATTGTGGGACTTAACAAAGAGTGAGTACAGCTGAAGGAGCCGGGGAGCAGAAAGTATATGCGTCAGGTGCGAGGAAGAAAACAGATTTTGGCAGTTATGAGAAATGTAGAGAGTGAGTTGAGCATAGTTTGTGATTTTGAGGGCCTCTAAAAGTATTAGGGCGGCAGCAGCTGCTGCACAGAGATATGATAGCTAGGCTAAAACAGTAAGGACAAGTTGTTTGGACAGAAAGGCTACAGGGTGCGATCCTGGCTCTTGTGTAAGAATTCTGACTGCACTAACGATGCCTAGGAAGGAAAGGAGTTGTTGTTTTGTAAGGGACTGAGGTTTGGGAGATTAATCGGACACGATCAGCAGGGAGAGCACGTGTGTTTTTATGAGAATTATGCCGAGATAGGTAACAGATGAGGATGAAATTTGGGCTTGACTGAAGTAATGGGGGCTGTCTGTGAAGCCTTGCGGCAGTACAGCCTAGGTAATTTGCTGAGCCTAATGGGTGTCAGGGTCAGTCCAAGTGAAAGCAAAGAGAGGCTGGGATGAAGGGTGCAAAGGAATAGTAAAGAAGGCATGTTTGAGATCCAGAACAGAATAATGGGTTGTAGAGGGAGGTACTGAGGTTAGGAGAGTATATGGGTTTGGCACCACGGGGTGGATAGGCAAAACAATTTGGTTGATAAGGCGCAGATTCTGAACTAACCTGTAAGCCTTGTCTGGTTTTAGAACAGGTAAAATGGGGGAATGGTAAGAAGAGTTTATAGGCCATGCTGTAACAGGCGAGTGATAACAGGCTTTAATCCTTTCAAAGCATGCTGTGGGATGGGATATTGGCATTGAGTGGGGTAAGGGTGATTAGGTTTTAATGGGATGGTATGGGGTACATGATTGGTCACTAAGGAGGGAGTAGAGGTATCTTATACTTGTGGGTTAAGGTGGGGAGATACAAGGGGAGGATGTGAAGGAGGCTTTGAACGGGGGAAAAGGCAGCAATGAGGTGTGGCTGTAGCCCAGGAATAGTCAGGGAAGCAGATAATTTAGTTAAAGTGTCTCGGCCTAATAAGGGAACTGGGCAGGTGGGGATAACTAAAAAGAAGTGCTTAAAAGAGTATTGTCTAAATTGGCACCAGAGTTGGGGAGTTTTAAGAGGTTTAGAAGCCTGGCCGTCAATATGCACAACAGGGAAGCAAGGGAAACAGGCCCTTGAAAATAAGGTAATGTGGAGTGAGTAGCCTCCACATTGATTAAGAAGGGGACAGACTTACCCTCCACTGTGAGAGTTACCTAGAGCGTCTGTGATGCTCCTGTATGCTTCTGAGGCAATCGGGCAGTGTCAGTCTTCAGCTGCTAAGCCGAGAAGATCTGGGAAGGAGTCAGTCAGAGAGCCTTGGGCCAGAGTTCCAGGGGATCTGGAAGTGGCTGTCAGGTGAGTTGAACAGTCCAATTTTCAGTGGGGTCCCGCACAGATGGGACATGGCTTAGGAGGAATCCTGGGCTGTGGGCATTCCTTGGCCCAGTGGCCAGATTTCTGGCACTTGTGGCAAGCTCCTGTGGGAGGAGGTTCTGGAGGAACCCCTGGCAGCTGCGGTTCAGGCGTTTGGAAGTTCTTGTGTGCTGGAGATGTGGCTGGGGTTTGTCTCACAGTGGAGGCAAAGAATTGCGACTTTTTTCTATTATTCTACACCTTGAAGGCAAGGTTAATTAAATCCTGTTGTGGGGTTTGAGGGCCGGAATTTAAGTTTTGGAGTTTTATTTAATGTCGGGAGCAGATTGGGTAATAAAATGTATATTGAGAATAAGACGGCCTTTTGACCTTTCAGGGTCTAGGGCTGTAAAGCGTCTCAGGGTTGCTGCCAAACGAGCCATGAACTGGGCTGGGTTTTTCATATTTGATGAAAAAGCCTAAACGCTCACTAATTTGGGAGAGGTCTGATAAAGAAAAAGGAGCATTAACCTTGACTATGCCTTTAGCTTCAGCCACCTTTTTAAGAGGAAATTGCTGGGCAGGTTGGGGAGGGCTACTCATGGAATGAAACTGTAAACTGGACCGGGTGTGAGGAGGGGAGGTGATAAAGAGATTATAGGGTGGAGGAGCGGAGGCTGAGGAAGAATTGGGACCTAGCTCGGCCTGGGGAGGAGGGGAGAGGTCAGATGGGTCTGTAGAAAAGGAAGATTAGAAAGACTCAGCGATGCTTGGGGTTGGGACTGAGGGGACAGGTGGGAGGGAAAGAAGGAAGATTTGGGATGAGTTGCACTGGGCACAGAGACTGGGGAGGGACTGATGTGTAAAAGAGTGCCTGGACATCAGGCACCTCAGACCATTTTCCTATTTTTCGACAAAAATTATTTAGGTCTTGGAGGATGGAGAAATCGAAAGTGCCATTTTCTGGCCATTTAGAACCACTGTCAAGTTTGTATTGGGGTCAAGCGGCATTGTAGAAGAAAATAAGGCATTTAAGTTTTAGGTCAGGTGAGAGTTGAAGAGTTTTATGTTCTTAAGAACACAGGCTAAGGGAGAAGAAGGAGGAATGGAGGGTGGAAGGTTGCCTATAGTGAAGGAGGCAAGTTTAAAGAAAAGGGAGAGTAGAGACACAGAGGGAAGTTGTTCGGGGGTTCTTACCCTCCAGAAAAGCGGGAAAGGGGTCAGGGCACAGAGATACGAGGCCGGGGTGTGGAAATAAGGGATCAGGGTGTAGAGATATAAGAGGTTGTGGTGCAGAAGTAAGGAATCAGGGTGCAGGGATACGAGGTTGGAGTACTTGCCCCACCCCTAGAAAAGCGGGACTTGCTGCTAAGGGTGAAGAAGAAGGGGTTGGGGGTTTCTTGCCCCCAAGAAAGGCAGAGAAGGGGTAGAGACATGGAGAGAAGGGGTTGGGGTACTTCCCCCTCCCCTAGAAGAGTGGGACTTACTGCTAAGAGTGAAGGAGAAGGGGTTGGGGGTTTCTTGCCCCCCAGAAAGGCAGAGAAGGGGTAGAGACATGGAGAGAAGGGGTTGGGGTACTTCCCCCTCCCCTAGAAGAGTGGGACTTACTGCTAAGAGTGAAGGAGAAGGGGTTGGGGGTTTCTTGCCCCCCAGAAAGGTGGAGAAGGGGTAGAGACATGGAGAGAAGGGGTTGGGGTACTTGCCCCTACCCCAGAAAAGTGGGACTTGCCGCTAAGGATGAAGGACCAAGGCAGGCGTCCCTGCATGGTCTGACACCTCTGAAACATGGGTGAATAATCAGAGAGGTGTCCCTGCAATGATTAAACACCAAGGGAAGGCTGCCTTCCCAGTCCGTGACCGGCGCCGGAGTTTTGGGTCCACAGATAAAATGTGTCTCCTTTGTCTCTACCAGAAAATGAAAGGAATTGAAATTAAAAGAAGGGAGAGATTGAAGTGTGGCACCAAGATTGAAAGGAGAAAGAGGTTGAGGGATAGTGAGGGAGGTTGGAGAAGAGAGTAAAAACAGGCCACTTACTGGATTTGAAATTGGTGAGATGTTTCTTGGGCTGGTTGGTCTGAGGACCTGAGGTCGTAGGTGGATCTTTCTCATGGAGCAAAGAGCAGGAGGACAGGGGATTGATCTCCCAAGGGAGGTCCCCCCAATCCGAGTCATGGTACCAAATTTCATACGCGTCCGTGTGAAGAGACCACCAAACAGGCTTTGTGTGAGGAACACGGCTGTTTATTTCACCTGGGTGCAGGCGGGCTGAGTCCGAAAAGAGAGTCAGCAAAGGGAGATAAGGGTGGGGCTGTTTTATAGGATTTGGGTAGATAAAGGAAAATGACAGTCAAAGGGGGGTTGTTCTCTGGTGGGCAGAGTGGGGTCACAAGGTGCTCAGTAGGGGAGCTTTTGAGCCGGGATGAGCCAGGAGAAGGAATTTCACAAGACAATCTCATCAGTTAAGGCAGGAACAGGCCATTTTCACTTCTTTTGTGGTGGAATGTCATCAGTTAAGGCAGGAACTGGCCATCTGGATGTGTACGTGCAGGTCACAGGGGATATGATGGCTTAGCTTGGGCTCAGAGACCTGACACTGGCTGTGAGACCTCCTCTGTACTTTTGCCACTGTGGTCCCTGGAAACTCAATGCAACTGCTGCTATTGAGGTTGCCCACAACCACCAAAGCTTCCCTGTAGATTTCCTCTTTTCATCATGAACTCCTAAGTCATTCTTGACTTGGTACAGTTGATGGGCCAAACCTCAGTTAGGTGCCCAAGCTGTCTTCAAGGGAGCCTGGCAAACAAGCATTTGGGAAGTGATGGTCTCTCAGCAAAACTCATCAGGTGGAGATTTTTCCAAACATAGAAGGCACAAGACAGTTACCATAAAAATAAAATAAAAAAATTTAAAAATGGCAAATTCCTACATATGGTCGTTTAAGTCAGACTGTTAAAGTTGTAATCACTCATTCCTTCACTAAGAGTAATGTTAGAAATTGAAGTAATGCACTGTATCAATCACATGATAACTCAGTAATATTACAAGCTCTTTGTGTTTTTTACAGTGAAGGTAGTTTTCAACCTTTGAATAAATTTGTTTCACAAATTCGACTTCAACATTGGTTTGAAACTCATTTTGTTGTCCAAAGGAATGAAAGTTGTCCATGTGAAATATTTCACATGTAGTTTGTTTTCTTGGCCATGACACTTCATTTAACTCCAAATGTTATCTGAAGTATAGGAGAAAAAGGAAGAGATATTTACATATGTGTTAATTGCTTTTCAAACACCGTTTTATCTCTCCCCTTTTTTGCAATTGCTTCTTAATTCTTTTTTATGCAGTAAAGCTGGGGTGTATAGTCACTGGGTCTTTTGCATCTTCCAAACTATTTGTCTGCTGTCATTGTACGTGACAGACAGCTTGAATGGATGGGCCATTTGTAGGTCATGCTCTCTTTCTTTGACGACTTGGGGGCAGAACTCCAACTGGTTCTCACATTATGCAGAGTCTGGATCTTTTTCCCTTGATATTTTTACTTGCAGGTTCAATGATTCTTTATCTTTGAAGTCCAGTTATATTAACTGATACATTATCTAATGTCTGCTGCTTCAACTTTACTTCTCCATCCTCAAATTAACTTCCCTGTTTTCTTCTCCTCTCCAAGAAGAAGAGTGAAGCGAAGAGTGAAGCCCAGCCTGGGACGAGTGCTCCCGCCCCATCACTTGTGCTTGCTCTTGGGTTGCACTTTTCCATCCTCCTCTCTCTCACCTGACTTGTCTTGCCTTCTTGTGGGTACCTTTTCTCTGAATAATCCTGCCTGCATCCTCTCCCTCATTAAAAACAATAGATTTTTGTCTGCCCCTGCTAAACCTGAAAGCTACTACCTTTCCCCACTTGGCATTGCCAACTTTGCACACCTCCAATCCTGCTTTTACCCTTTCTCCCCTATAGAATTGAAAATTTATTCACTAAACTGGAGGATCCTTCAAGCTCAGGTTCCCCATGTATCCCAGCTTCTAACACAATGCCTGGAATACTTATGTGTGTGTGCGTGTGTGTGTGCTTGTGTATCTTCAAAACATTTATTCAAATTCAGACCTCCCCAGAATTCTCTGTGGCCATCCACTTCAGTGAGCTTGAAATGAGCTAAACTAATAGGCAAAGAATAAAAAATAAATATATGGGGAGGGAGAGGAAGAGCCTGTTTTGCTACAAAGCATTCTTCAGAGACTACATTTATGAAGTCTGTTGGAGGACATGGAAGAGAGCTCAAAGAGGAACTAATTAATAAATGAAGACTCCCAGCACCATTGCACCTCATCTTTTTTTCTTTTCTTTTTTTCCTTAAAGGCAAATAAATCCCCAGAGCTTCCATTGTCACCTCTGTCTGGCCCCATGACTCCTGACCCTGGAGTTGCAGCTGCACTACACACCTTCCCCTCTACTTGTCTGACATCCTCACCTGTTGTTCTTAAGTCTCAGTATATTGAAATCCCAACCTTAAACTCCCACCTAAACAGTTTCTATTTTCCTCTTGAGGCCTCTATTTTGCTGGCTGATTTCATTGGCCTCTTGACTGCCCAAGCTCAAGACCTAACTATCCTCTGACTTCTTCCAACTTGTCCCTCCATGCAGTCCCATGCCAGGTTATTTTATTCTACTTTTGTAATATCCATGGATTCCTCCTTTCTATTCCCACACGCATTGTGTTGCTTTAGTTCCTTTTTTTCTTGGCTCACATATTAAAACAGGCTTCTACTGCACCTCTTGTCTATGCATCTTCCCAGCCATTGTATGCACGCTGCTGCCAGAATAATATTCTGCTCAAACCCATTCAGTCCTCTCAATTGCCACCAAGTACAGAAGAAGGAAAAAGAAAACAAAAACATCCACAAAATAAACACTTCCTTCTGTGTCCAAAGGGATTCTGCAATATGATCTCATCTTATTTTTCTGTCCACTACTCTACTAAAGCAAACTGTATTCAGCATTCCTGCCCTCCCCCTGGGCACAGTGTCTGTGCTGGGAATGCACTTTATAGAACGTTCATTTCTGATAACACATAACTCAGTGCTCAATACAGACATTACCCCCTTAGCAAAACCTTTCATGCTTCCCACACCTGGTTATGACACCTTTTGCTATAAGCTGCTTTAGACCATTGTCAGAACTCTTCTTGGGACATTTCTCTTCAGAGCATATTGTGGTAACCAATGAACCTGTGATATCTCCCACGGGCTGCTAGCATGTTAACACCACATCTGATATACACCTGTGTCTGTCATGGTACTTATCCTAGAGCTTCACACCAGGGGTCTACTTTTTTTAGATTGTATACTTCCATTATATTTAAAAAACATGTTCTAGCATATATCACTGTCGTGGGTTGAATATGGTGAAGTCCTGAACGCCGTTACTTGTGATCATGACCTTCGTTGGAAACAGGGTTTTTGCAAATACATTCAAGTTAAGAAGTCATGCTGGGGCCGGGCGCGGTGGCTCACGCCTGTAATCCCAGCACTTTGGGAGGCCGAGGCGGGCGGATCACGAGGTCAGGAGATCGAGACCATCCCGGCTAAAACGGTGAAACCCCGTCTCTACTAAAAATACAAAAAATTAGCCGGGCGTAGTGGCGGGCGCCTGTAGTCCCAGCTACTTGGGAGGCTGAGGCAGGAGAATGGCGTGAACCCGGGAGGCGGAGCTTGCAGCGAGCCGAGATCCCGCCACTGCACTCCAGCCTGGGCGACAGAGCGAGACTCCGTCTCAAAAAAAAAAAAAAAAAAAAAAAAAAAAGAAGTCATGCTGGATTAGGGCGAGTTATAAATCCAATGACTACTGTCCTTATCATGAGGAGGAGATTTGGAGGCCCAGAGACATGCAGGGGAAGAGGCCTTGTGAAGATGGAGGCAGGGATTGGAGTGATGGAGCTGCAATGCAAGCCAAGGACCACCATGAATTGCTGGCAAACACTAGAGGCTAGGAAGAGGAGAGGAAGTGTTCTTCCCTGGGGCCTTCTGAGGGCATGTAGCCCAGCTGACACCATTGGGTTTGAACTTCTAGCCTCTTAAATTGTGAGAATAAATTTCTGCTGTTTTAAGCCATCCAGTTTATGGCAATTTGTTATGGCAGCCCTAGGAAACTAATATAACCACCTCTATGGAAATTAATATAACCACATATATAGGTGGTTATATTAATCATATATATGTGTGTATGTGTATAATTTTATGTATACATTGTATACTTGAGATACTATACTAATATATACATTATAAAGCACATAAAAACACAGGAGTTTTTAAAGTATAAGATAAAAATAAATAAATTATGATTTTTTTGTGTTGCAATGGGCATCGTTGAGTACTCTGAGTGTATTCAAGGACAGCAGCTTAGTAGATGCCTAATAAACGTCTGTTGCATTTAATGAGCCTGTGAAAACTAGATATAACTATTTGGACCTTTCAGATCAAACTTCCTTTAGATTTTGCTTTCTAATTTTATGGCATTATAATCTGAAAATATAATACGTATGATATGATTTTGTAGAATTTTTTAAACTTTTGTTTTTGCCTAACTCATGTCAATTACTATGACTATTGACATGTGTTTGAAAGGAATGTGTATTTTCTGATATGTAAGTACCTGTCTATGTCTACATCTATATCTATACCTCTATCTGCCTATCTATATTTATAAGTTGTGTTGTTAAGTCTTTCTTGTGTGTGTGTGCATCATCTGTCTCATCTATTTTGGAGCAGGGGCCATTAAAATCTTCAACTCCAAGCAGATGAATCTATATTAAGTTTTCCTTTATGTATTTAAGGCTATATTCTATGCAATTACATTCTAGATCAGTTTAGAGCCTCACTGAATTATCATTATCCTTTTTTTTTTTTTTTTTTTGAGATGGAGTCTCACTCTGTCACCCAGGCTGGAGTGCAGTGGCATGATCTTGGCTCACGGCAACCTCCGCCTCCTGGGTTCAAGCGATACTCCTACCTCAGCCTCCTGAGTAGCTGCGACTATAGGCGCCCACCACCACACCCGGTTAATTTTTGTATTTTTAGTAGAGACGGGGTTTGACCATGTTGGTCAGGCTGGCCTCGAACTCCTGACCTCGTGATTCTCCTATCTTGACCTCCCAAAGTGCTGGGATTACAGGCATGAGCCACCGCGCCTGGCCGAATTATCCTTCTTATAGTAAATGATGCAACTCTTTGATCCTTAATAAAATCTTAAATTTTATTTTAACTAATGATAAAATAGTTACGATATGTTATTTTAACTTGTATTTATCTGATATTCCCATATTTTAAATCTTAGATATCCTTTTATTATAAATATGTCTCATAGACTATATTGTTGGCTTATATTATTTTGTTTGTATTGTTTTTAATCCAGTCTGAGATGCTTTATTCTTTGATCTTCGTTTACACCACTTATACTTATTGTGAATACTTCTTCCTGTCATTTTTTTATTTACTGTATTTTCTTTTTAAAAATATTCTCATTTCTACTTTCCCTCCATTAAATTATATATATTTTTTCTTCTCCCTCTGGATTATACAACTTCTGTATTATACAGATGTTTACATTTTTCTACTTCTTGCATGCATTAAATTTTTCCTCCCTCTCTAGGACTCATATTAAATAGACTTTTTTCACTTTGTCCTTTTCTCTGTATCTCTTAACTTTTCTAATTTTATCTCTTATTTATGTCTTCTTGAAGAGTTTCTGGACCTAATATTACAATTTAGTAATTGTTTTTCACTCTACCCGTTCTGCAAATTCACCACCTTTTAAAGTCTGTACATAGCTATAAAGTTTTTTATGTCCGTTTTCACCAAATGCTGCTTAATTATAATTGCTGACCTCAGCTCAATGTTTGCAATATTCTCCCTTATGGAAAATACAATGGAAAATTGTCATTACGCTTATTTTAAATTCTTGTTCTTTGTGCTTGTTAATTCTGCTGACTTTAGCATAGATTTTCCATATGTGATCTAAATTCTGTGCCGCTTGTGCTTGCCAGATACCTCCTTATTTTCTCTGGGAGCTCATATCCTTTTGGATCTATTAACCCATATTGGCTGGTGCTGTGTACACAGTGGGAGGGACAAATACCTCAGCCCTAGCTTCCACCCCCTGGTTGGTTAGGAAAAGGAGCATATGCTCAGATTGGAGAGCGTCTGATGGCACAATCCGAGTTACTCCACGCCCATCCCCTACCATGAAGCGACTTTGCCTCTTAAGAATTCGCCTCCCTGAGCACCTCTGTTCCAGAAACCACTTATTTCGAAAAGCCCTCAAATTCTCAGTTGGTTAGAATTATCTAGCCAAGGGGGGAAGTGGGGTGAGAGGGGGGCAGAGGGAACGTATAGAGGGCTGGCCAGTTTATTGCACCTGTTTTTGTACTCTTTCCTCCCAAAGCCTGTTTAGGAGATTCTCTGATGTTACCATTCCTCTCCCTGACAATGGGCTGGAACTGTAGTTTTTCCATTCTGTAGTAACAGCAGATAAAATAATGGAGAAGAGGCCGGGCGCGGTGGCTCAAGCCTGTAATCCAAAACTTTGGGAGGCCGAGGCAGGTGGATCACCTAAGGCCAGGAGTTCAAGACCAGCCTGGCCAACATGGTGAAACCCCGTCTCCACTAAAAATACAAGAAGTAGCTGGGCATGGTGGCGGGTGCCTGTAATCCCAGCTACTCGGCAGGCTGTGGCAGGAGAATCGCTTGAACCCGGGAGGCGGAGGTTGCAGTGAGCGAGATCGTGCCGCTGCCCTCCAGCCTGGGCGACAGAGCGAGACTCCGTCTGAAAAAAAAAAAAGAGGAGAGAAAAGGATACCGCTAACACATGCTCCCCACCTGGCTCCCGTTCTCCCTCCTGTCCTGACTCCTCAGTGCCACTTCCGCCACATGCACCGCAGCAAAGACTCAGCAACTTCTCTCTCCACGGGGATTTCCTCTGGTTCTTTGTTAGGTTCTAGGATCTATCAGCCTCCCCTCTCCTGTGGCATCTACCTCTTTGGGCACGTGGGAAGGAGCCAGCAGCCTTTATTAGCTCTTGCCTTTAATATTTGTATGATTGAAAGATGTCAATATCCTGGACATCCCCCCAGTAAAAATCAGCTCTGTCACAATACATGCATCTTCCACGGTTGCTATTCAATAGTTGAGTAAAGGATCTCACAAATAAGCTTGGGTTGCTTAAAACTTCAATAAAACCATCTGAAGAGGATCAATATAGAAAGGGGTCATTAAAACAGGGGTTAGATCCCACCGCGAGGTGACATCAAGGCAGATAGCCTGGTGAAGCATTTGAAAAATCAGAAAAATCCTCAAGTGGAAACTAAACATTAACGAAGTATTGCTAGTGAGCTTTAATATCTCCAACAAACAGGCAAGCCCACCTCACATCATCTGTAGCAGGAAAAACACAGCAAAGGCGAATGTTCTGGCAGCCCAGAGTTTCAAGGAAGAATGAAGTACAGTGACGACATGCCTTAGTGAAGCTTGTACATGTGTGTGGGTGCCAGAGCCAAAGAGAGAAAACATATATCTTTCCTCAATCCCCTTTCGAAAAATGAAACTGCTGCATTAGCAAGGTTACTTGAAAAAGATTATTACCTATTCTATTTTTCTTTCTTTTTTTTTTTTTTTTTTGAGACCAAATCTCGCTGTATTGCCCAGGCTGGAGTGCAGTGGCGCGCAAGCTCACTGCAACCTCTGCCTCCTGGGTTCAAGTGATTCTCCTGCCTCAGCATCCCGAGTAGTTGGGATTGCAGGAGTGCGCTACCACGTCCGGCTAATTTTTGTATTTTTAGTAGAGGCGGGGTTACACTGTGTTGGCCAGGCTGGTCTCAAACTCCTGACCTCAAGTGATCTCCCCTTCTTGGCCTCCCAAAGTGCTGGCATTACAGGCGAGAGCCACCACGCCTGGCCTGTTACCTATTCTTTTAAGAAGGTTGTCCCAAATAGTTTTCTTTGAGAGTTACTCTGCTTATTTAAGGCTGGTTTGTTTGTTTTTGCCTTCTTCTCCTTGAACTGTGAAATCAAAAGACAAGTGGAATGGACAAAACCAACGCAAGGTAACTCAGCCAACACTGACAGCTGTCAGTCACTGGAGTTTTTGAAAGAGGAAGCACTTGTTTTCCACTGCAGCCAAAAAAAGGTAATATGAGCAAGCTTGATGGCAAGGTTCTGCTACGTTACTAAAAATGGAAATGTTGCCTGGGCGCGGTGGCTCAGGCCTGTAATCCCAGCACTTTGGGAGGCTGAGTTGGGCAGATTGCCTGAGGTCAGGAGTTCCAGACCAGCCTGGGCAACATGGCGAAACCCTGTCTCTACTAAAAATACAAAAAATTAGCCTGGCATGGTGGCGGGTGCCTGTAATCACAGCTACTCGGGAGGCTGAGGCAAGAGAATCGCTTGAGCCCAGGAGGCAGAGGTTGCAGTGAGCCGAGATGCGCCACTGCCCTCCAGCCTGGGTGACAGAGTAAGACTCTGTCTCAAAAAAAAAAAAAAAAAAAAAAAAAAAAAAAAAAAAAAAAAAAAGGAAATGTTTTTTCTTTGCTTTATTTGAAGATTGTCTTAAGAATAGTGAGATCATTTGAAAAGAAAATGAACAAAAAAGTCTATAATTGTTTGAAAATAATTTAGAAATGTTTATTTAGTTACTGATATTAAGGATAGTAAGGGAATTCATTAACAATCAGTTGCCCTGAAAATAAATATGCTTCTCAAATATCCAGAAAAGAGCAAATACTCTCAGTTTTCATTTTAGTAAAATTAGAGTACCATTTGGATAAATAAAAAATTGTTCTAAGAAAAATACAATGAGGTGCTAAGTGCTTCCCCTGAGTATAATTTTTAGGCACAGTCATTCACATTGTGTTTATTAAGCAGACACAGGTGATTTATATGCATACTTAAGGGTTTTCTAATATATATTGGGTAAAAACTCCATTTAAAACAATGTATCTTTTTTTATAATATTTTATTATTTAGTATAGTATATTTGATATTATAACATACAGAAAATTTTACACATACAGAAAAATTGAAAGAATTTTAGAGCAAACACTGAATACACACCAAGATTCTACCATTAACATTTTGCTATACTCACTTTATCACATAGGTATCCACCCCACTAATCATGTAGAAATTACCATCCTTGCAGAAGCCCTCTCATGCCTTTCTCCGCCAATCCCCAGCCCTTCCTCCCAAAGGCAAAGACTCTAGATTGTCATCCACCTTAGATTTAAAACTCAAATTTAAATGCCACTAATGACTTCCCGAATGCTTATATCATTTTGAAATAGTTGGAAATTTACATAATCCTTTTAATTTGTAAAGTAATCTATCTAATGGGTATTGTCCTTTCTGGTCAAACAAATCAGAGCCCACAGTTCAGGAAGAATCATCAGTCCTCCAGTACAGCATCACTTTGGGTGACAGTTGATCTGTGGGACTCAGTTCTTCATTTGTAAAATAGAGATATCTATACCAGCCTCAGACTCACCTCTGGCATGTTGTAGGTAAGAAAAAGAAGAAAGAGTTAAAGCTTCTACCAAAATGCAAAATGTTTTCCTTAGATGTAGTGATTAGGCAAATTGAATTATTAATGGCACATTGCAGGTACAGTCTTGGCAATCACATGTTTTGCTAAATAAACATTGTGAGCTTTATTTCCTGGAAAATTTGGTAGAATTACATAATTGGCTCAGTGTGCTATAGTTCCACTTTTCTCATTAAGGACATTTAAATTCTTGCTCTAACAAAGCGTGTAAAAACACTCTTTACAATAGTGGTATGTAATAATACGCTTATTTTCTGTCCACTCTAATAATTCAAATACATTTTATTTATTTCATCTTTGTTATTTATTAAATAAATATTTAAGAATAAAATAAAAGAACATTGAGGTCTTTTCTCTACATACTAATGGTAGATCATTTTTAAATTGTTGCCTAAACCACTGCAAAAAAAAAAAAAAAATTGACAGCTGATCATTTTGAACCAAAGAAATTTCTAGCTAAATTACTGCAGGTCTCAAGCACATGAACCATTTCAGATATAAGTCAATTTGAAAATGAGGTTGGAAATCAGTACCCTGAAGAGGCAGCGCAGAACATTTAAATCGCATGGCCTTTGGTTTCCAAATTTGGTGTGTAAATGTTACTGCCTTTAGATGTGACTTTAGAGAAGTCAGTTTCCATCTCTGAATTGTGGCTTTGTAGGTTCCAGAGCATTTATTTGTCCAGGGTATGGTTTGTGATGAGGAGTGTGGGTGAGTTCTTCCTGTGAGTCTATTTACTTCTCAGCCCGGGGCATTCCTTTGTGGCATGTGGGGTCTTTTCCATTGAATGTGCGTGATTCTCTAACTTTGATACGGTTCCCATTTAACCCCAGCAGAGCACAGAGAGATAGGATCATGATGTTCTCAAGTCAGTGATTCTCATGCTTTAATGCACCAAAGGATCCCCTAGGATGTTGATAAAAGTAAGGCTGTTGTGGGATTCAAGCTTCTGCATTTCTAATAAGCTTCCTGGTGAGGCCTATGCTGCTGTTCGCCAAACCCACTTAGAGTAGCAAGATCTTTAGAGAAGGATCAAGAATGACGTGTTCCCTAAGCAGACTAGTCCATGAAAACAATCTTGCCACAGCTGGTCAAATTCATCTAATTGAGCAGCAACAGGTCAAAATATAATCAATTCCTTTCTTGTCGTTCAACTTGCCCTAGAGCATTATTTTTCCCTCTCAGGCAAAATGACTGAATGCTGAAAGGCTTCTGCTGTCTTAAATCTCAAAGTGAGTAATCAAAGCCAGGTTTTAGGCAATCATCAGCAAAGAAAAAAATATAGTGGAAAAAACCCAAACACTCACACATCTGCCTAACACCATGAGTGCAGTAATCAGGGTGCCTCTCTGAGGGACAAGTAAAAATGCATCTTTCACCTTTACTATTCCCCAACTGAATATACAAATTCTAATTAAGTTAATAAAGTGCTTATGGTTAATAATTGAATCAGCACTAAAAGCAATAAAGAATAGAGTAAAAATTATCTAAAGTCCCAGCATTCAGATATAACCACTGCCGATAGCTATAGAAAGCATGCTTCTATGTCTGTCTCTAAATATACACACACATAAAACATATTTAATTTTACATAATTAAAATGCACTTTGAATATTGTATCAAAAAGTGGCTGTTTTTACAAAAATAAGGTTACCCATCAGTAAGTCTTACCAACAATGTTACTTTAAATAGCTGCTTACAATTTCATGGCATAGGTGGAAGAGCATCACTTTTTTTCCTAAAAATTTGAAGACATGCATTTAATATTTTATTAATTTTATATATTATACAATTGTAAAAGTTAAAACAGCATTGGTAATTACAGAGCAGAGAGCAAAACGTCACCACCAATTTTAACTCTCAGAAGTACATTGTAATATTAGATGAGCCGCATTCCTGACATTTTCCTGTGCATATATACAGTTGGAAATAGAACTAGATAAAAGAAATCATTTTTATAAAAATGAATTTTGCCATACATATTAAGTAAAATGTTTCAAATTTAATTATAATTGAAGATAATAGGGAGGGAAATAAAGTCAAATTTTGTAGAATTGTTTCTGTGTATGAAAAAGTACCACCTCCAGGATCTATCACTTAAACTTTCTATGGGAACTTGAGCAAATTACTTAACATTTCTGTGCTTTGGAATTCTGATCTGTAAAATGGGATTTAAAGTATCTAAATCATAGGGTGTTGTGAGGAGTAAAAAGGTATAAGGTAGAACATTGAGAATAGCACCTGGAATACAATGATTCATGCATGCTATTTCTTTTTAGATTAGCTCAATTATACAGATTCATTTTAAAGAAAATGAATTATGAAAAACAACAGAGGTGGGAATCATGTTTTTGAGTTGAGTTTAATTTTGAAAAAAATTTAGACAGTTTTATTTGGTTTTCTGCTATGAAAGGTGGAGAAATTTATCATGCTTTCTCTCCCTCCCTCCCACTTCCTTCCCAACCACATCCTGACTTCTATTTTATTGTTTTTATTTAACTAAGAATATTAACATCTGCATTCTGCTCTCTACCTATAATTCTGATAGTTGTTTCATCATGATTTCAGATTGAAATTAATGCAATACTCAGTACTCATGGTTTGAGGTCAGTGTGCACTTTTCTGAGACCTTTATTTTGATTCATCTTTTGATTGATTTCACATGGATTTCACTTTGGAGTCACTGCTTTCATCAAAGGCTCATGGGTACGCTCTCCTCTGATTGTTTCCTGACCAAGAATGTCTGTTAGTTTAGTACCTGAGCAATAATTTAAGCTGAATATTATATTCTTCAGTAATACTTTTCTGCAGATTTTTATATGTGTTTTTGTATTACTTCCTGGAATTTAATGGCAGTTATTTTTCCTTTCTGTAAGTGAATTGCATTTCCCTTGGATAAGTAAAGATTTCTTTTCTCTCATTACACTTAATGTTCAGTAACCTCTTTATGACCTGTCTTCATGCAGATCTTCTATTAATAGAAATCTTGCACAGAACACAAAATGTCCCTGTGTTCTGTAGATTTAGTGCTACCTATATTTAGGTAAATTTTCTTCTGTTAGATCTTTTCAAAAATTAATTGTGAAAGATATATACAACTGCATTTTAGGGGTCTCTAAGGCCACCTTCAGGTTCAGTGATTCACTGGAAGGACTCACAGAACTCAACAAAGCTGTTATACTCACAATAACAGTTTATTATGGCAAAAGGATACAGACTAAATGCAGCAAAAGGAAGGGGCATGTGAGGCAGCGTTCCAGACACCAGGGGTGGGCTCCCAGTTGTCTTCCTCTATGGGAGCTGTGCAGACACGGCTCACCTGTCCCAACAATGACGTGTGTCAACATGCATGGGTACTGCTAAACAGGCAGTTCAACCAGGATCTGCTGCCCAGGATTTATGTGCTTGTGTCCAGAGACATATACAGGCATGGTCGACCACCCACATGGCTGACCTTCAGCTCCAGCTCCTCCAGAGGTCAAGCTGCTATCTCTAGCCCTGGGCTACCACCATAAATCACATTGTTAGCATGGACTGTCTGGTCTGGGCCTAGGCCTGGGTAGAGAAACATACTCTTACCAGGCAGGACATTTTAAGGGATTAGAGCTTACCTACCTCTCAGAAGCTGCCCAAAGGCCAGGCCTTTTTAGGGGCAAGGTTAGTAAAGCACAACAGAAAACTGCATAAAAAACACATGTAGATTAGATAGATTGGTAGGTAGGTAGATAGATGGATAGATAGATAGATAGATAGATAGATGATAGGTAGATAGGTACGTAGATAGATAATAGGTAGGTAGATAGATGATAGGTAGGTAGGTAGACAGATAAATAGATAGATCATAGGTAGATAGATAGATAGATATATGATAGGTACGTAGGTAGATAGGTAGGTAGATAGATAAATGATCAAGAGGTAGGTAGATAGATGATAGGCGAGTGGATAGATAGGTAGGTAGGTACATAGATAGGTAGGTAGATAGGTAGGTAGATGACAGATAGATAGATTTCAGAACATTAGTAGAAAAAACAACCCTCCATTCATTCCCTACTACCCAGGTTAGGAAATAGACTATATTACCAGAACTTTTCCCAGTTGTATCATTTCCCCTCTCCACCAGAGGCAACCACTGCTCTGACTTTTGTGTTAGCCTTTCTTTGCTTTTAAAAACAGTTTTTTTAATCCATGTATGAATTTCCAGTCCCTCTCTCTCCCTTTTTCTTCTCTGTCTCCTATCTGCCCTTAATTTAAAAAAATCTAAGTAGCAAGTACAAGCCTAGTTATGTTAGGAAAGGCCCACACTGCATGAAGGAAACATAGCTGAATATTCTCTGGGTCATATTCTGGCTTCAGCTTCCCTTGGAATTAACAGCAGCCTCCTCTGAGGAAGTAAGTGGGCGAGATCATGACTGAGTCCTGGGAAACTCAGGGCTTGCCAAGGTAGGGCGTCTGGCGGAGATGAACTGTGGGCCACATTCTGGGTATCTGACAAAAATATGAGGGATTGGGCTGCTCGGTATTTTCTGCTTCTCAGCTTGTGCAGCAGAGATATAGATTGCTCACCATCTGTTCATGTGGTCTGCCACATTTCCTAGAGCCCTTGCAGTTAGTTGGGGCCATGTTTCTGGTTCTTGCTGAAGTGCCGGGAGTGCAGGAGATGTATTGTTACTTCTGAGTAAAAGATCACAAGCTGATGCTAGGCTAACTCTCTCTCTCTCTCTCTCTCTTTTTTTGCTGGGGAACAAGATCTTGCTCTGTCTCCCAGGCCAGAGTGCAGTGGCGTGATCATGGCTCACTGCAGCCTCAACCTCCTGGGCTCAAGCATTCCTCCCACCTCAACCCCTCAAGTAGCTGGGACTACAGGTACACCATCACGCCCAGCTACTGTTTGTATTTTTTTTTTTTAAATAGAGATGGTGTTTCACCATGTTGCTTTGCCATGTTGCCCAGGCTGGGCTCGAACTCCTGAGTTCAAAAGATCCACCTGCCTCAGCCTCCCAAAGTGCCAGGATTACAGGCCTGAGCCACCGTGCCCGGTCCACTGGCTAACTCTCTTCTAAACTGCCACAGCAATTGTGGAAACAGCACATTAAGAATAAGCATGCTTGGCCTGGTGCAGTGGCTCACTCCTGTATTCCCAGCACTTTGACAGGCTGAGGTTGGCAGATTGCTTGAGCTCAGGAGTTTGAGATCAGCCTGGGCAACATGGCGAGACCCCATCTCTACAACAAGATACAAAAAATTAGCCAGCCATGCACCCCAGCCTGGGCGACAGAGCAAGAACCTGTTTCCAAAAAACAAAAAAAGAAGAAGAAGAAAGCATGCTTATCAACCTGGGTGCCTCAGAGACTTTGGATGTTCAGTGTAAGAGTGAAAGGTCGCTGAGGTTTTGAGTTAATTTGTTACACAGCATAACCATGGATACTCTGATGAAAACACCTCATCATGGCATACTTTTAGCTCCCAGGTAAAGGTGAATGAAGCTCCCTTTTGTGGTTTGAAATGAGAGTCTTTAGATGTGTCAAAACATGACCCAGCATTGAGCTTGGAGGAGACAGCAGGAATTTATGCAGCATGTGGGGAAACAACCCAAGGCACAGAATCTGGAGCGGGCTCACCCAGGTGTTCTGGGTTGAAGGCTGTAGGGATCTTGGTGAAGAAAGATTTCTGTATATTCGTTTGGGACATACTACTTCAGACTGGACTGCTGCTTTCTAATCTAGAGCGTAACTATCATTCTGAGATTTTCCGTCTTCCTTGGAATTCCCTGGGAATTCTCTTTGTCTCTCTCCTTCATTGGATGATCTATTTTCCATGTCCCTATGTCTTCCTCTTTCTTGGTTTATGCACTCATTTCAAGGAGCACATCCTCCTGCAGCTTCTTGTCAAAGGGTGCACAAAGTTAATTTTTTAACACTTTACATGCCTGAAATGTCTTCATCTTACTCTCTCATACTGGATTTACAGTTTGGCTAATAATTGAATTCTAGATTAGCAGGTTATTGATGGAATTGCTGTATTTTCTTCATGCTTATAATTGCTGTTGGAAAGTCTGATGCCATTCAGATTTCCAATTCAAAACAGATGTTGAACCTCTTTTTCTCCCTTTGGAAGTCTACAAAATCTAGTCTTTGTCTTTGGTATTTTGAAATAGGGACAACAATGAAGGTTGGTTGCATCTGTTTTCATCCATTATTCTGGAAAATCAACAAATCATTTTTTTTCTTCTAATAGTTTTTTAAACTTTTTTTAAATTATGCTTTAAGTTCTGGGATACATGCACAGAACCTGCTGGTTTGTTACATAGGTATACACGTGCCATGGTGGTTTGCTGTACCTATCAAACAAATCATTTTTTAAAAAAGAACAACTTAAATGAAATATAATTCACATGCTATACAATTCACTTAAAGTACAATGAGATGATTTTTAATACATTCAAACGGTTGTGAAACTGTCACCACTATTAAATTTGGAATATTTTCATGGCCACAAAAAGAAAGCCCATACCTATTAGCACTAAGTTCTTATTTTCCCAATTCCTACCCCCACCACAACCTCCAGCCCTAAGAGCCTACTAATCTACCTTCTGTTTCTGTGGATTTGTCTTTTCTGGCCATTTCATATAAATGGGATCATACGATCTGTAACCTTTTGTGACTGGCTTCTTTTACAAGCATGACACTTTCTAGATTTATCCATGTCGTAGTATGTACCAGTACTTTATTCCTTTTTATTGCCTTACCACATTTTGCTTATCCATTCATCAGTTGATGGACAGTGGGTTTCCATATTTTCAGTATTGTGAATAATGTATTATTTGTGTACAAGTTTTGTGTGGACATATACTTTCAGTTTTCTTGGATATATACCTAGGAGTGGAACTGCTGGGTCATAAAATAACTATGTTTAACTTTTGATGAACTGCCAGACTGTTTTCCAAAGCAGCTGTACTATTTTACATTCCCATCAACAATGTATAAGGGTTCCAATTTCTTTATATCCTCTTGGATGGCTGGTATTGTCTGTCTTTTCGACTATATACATCTAAGTGGTGTGAAGTGGTATCTAATTGTGGTTTTTGATTTGCATTTCCCTGACGGCTGCTAATGTTGAGTCTCTTTTCTTGTGATTGTTGACCATTTGTATATCTTCTTTGCAAACAGCTCTGTCAGTCATCCTCTTGATTTTGGCATCTCTTCCATTTTGCCTCCAATTCTAGAGGGATGTGAGGCTGCCACTTCATGCACCTTGTGGGAATTCTGTGAAGTAAACTGTGTTGAACCTCAACTCTCCCAGTTGCAGCCTTGAGGTCTGTATTTCTGGTACTTGCCAAATTAGTTATCATTGATGCATTTGCTTTTCAGCTTCTGAAATTTTGTTTTATTTTTCTCATCTTTGTTCCCTCTGGCATAGCATTATTATTACTGAATAATAATAATAATAGTTGTTATTATTCTGTGATTATAGTGGGGCATTAGGATTAAAAAAATTATTTGCGTGTATTCAAAAAAATTATTTGCATGTATTTAAATATACCTTTAAACATATTTTTGTCGTATTTTGTTAGTTGTTTTCTACCTAGGGATAGGAACTATCTTGATGATGGATTGTGTTTGTCTCTCTTTTATATCTCTTATCATTTTTCTAGTTGCCTTATCTGTTTGCCTGTTTCCTTAGCATTCATTATGTTCAAAGGCTTTCCCCTTCACCAGGAATTTAATTTGCAGTCATACTTAATCTATTCCTTAACATTTTTACTTTATTTCTTTATTTGCTAGGTAAGGGTAAACTTTTTGGCTCTCAATTTGTTTTATTGGCTGGAAAGAGCATTCACATTTCCTCTTACTATATGGTGTTATTATTTTAACTCTGAGTACTTAACATATTAAATGCATATTCTTCTAGAACTTTTCTATGACATGAGGCACCCACTAGGAATTTTTGTCTGTTCTTTGGTTTGTACTTTCTTTTATTGTTGTTCTTTTCTTTTCTTTTGTTCATGTTAAGGTGGGCCACTCTGTCTACGCTTGAATTTTTCTAATACAGTATGAATTAACACTCACTAATGATACTTCTAATTTATCTGATAGCAGTGTAAGAATGTGTCTTCCCCTTGACTCACACTTTGAAGCAGGGGGATTTTGGTTTCATTTGCTTTTCTGAGTTTGTGGACACTAGATGGGGGACAAACATTGGAAGTGATGGAGAGACTTCTACTGCAGACTTTATTAAATGGCAAAGACTCTCTTCTCACTTCTAAGATTGTCTCAAGTGTCCTGTTTCAGAGTTTACTCCTTCTATGTGGGGGATGTTCTCAGTTATCTTCATAGGTTCTCGGGGATACTTCATTAAGCATGTAGCGCCCACAAATAAGTGATTATGATTTTTCTTGTCTTTGTAGAGATCCTGTTATCTTAGATGGTTTTATTTATGATTGTTTTTCCTTGAATTTTTTTGAGTTGAGGATTAGTCAGAAGAAAATATCCAGACCAAAGCACAAAAAACTAAAAGGATAGAAACACAGAAAAGAGCAAGACACATGGAACATGGTGAAAAAGTCTAAAATATGTGTAATCACTGTGACAGAGGAGAAAGAAAGAGACAGGGATGATAGTTGAAGAGGTAATGGTTGAGAATTTTCCAAAATTGATGAAAGACATCAAGCTACAGATTCAAGAAGTGCTAAGATCTCTAAGCAGATGAAATACAAAACACGTTATACCTAGGCCTGTCATACTAAAACTATGGAAAACAAAGAGGAAATGTAAAATCAGGCCAGAAGAACAAAATAATTCTTGCTTGTTTAAAAAAGATGACAATATTGAAATGCAAAATCTCTTTTCCAAGTATTTTCCTCAGCTTTACTTTTCCTTGACTTTTAAAAGAAAAATAAGATGATACTACATACACCATTAAGAAATTTGCATTTTCTTTTTGGAACAATGTATCTTTCAATGTCAGCAAATGTAAACCTAGATTGTTCTTTTTGATTGCTGAAGGGTGTTCTGATATATCAATGTCCACAATTGATTGAACAAATCTTCTATTGAGGGAGATAAAAAAAAAAGAACAAAATAAATTTCGCCAATATCAAAACAACACTACATATTAGTTTAACACTTACTATAGTTGGCACTGTTCAGTTCAGCAAGTATCAATTGTTATTTAAGTTAAAGGTTATTTGTAATTTTTTATTAATAATGCTAGTATGAATATATGTATTTCCAGAGAAGTGTGCAAAGATATACAAATGCACATACATATGCACACATAGAAATACTTCCATAAGTACTTACACAGACAGGAATATCTTTGCATAGTATTTCTAGAAGTATTTTATGGCCTAAATTCCTAGAGGAAATATTACACTGTGTTAGACTTTTGCATTTAAGTTTTGGCAGATACTCTTCATCATTGGTGAGGTGGATCTGCTTCTCATATAGTTATGCTATTTTTGTTTGTGACTTAATGATTGATATCTGTTATTTATTTTCTACCTGCTTGCCTTTAAGGTCTAGCAAACACTTGAGCTTTCAGGAATACCCAATCTCTGTTTCTTTTCTCTTTATGTATTTCTGAACTGCACTAAGCATATGGTCATTTCACTGTTCATTAACACCTCTACCAGACAGTAGGTTGAAGAAGGAAGAGAAGATGAACTCCTAGCCATCCATCTGTGGTTTTGACGCACGAATCTTACCTCCCTCGCATATATTGCTAGAGCATTGTTGTATTCATGGTGTAAAGTAGAATTGCTTTTCACTGAGAAATCATTCTTACGCAACTCAAGAATAAAACTCATGGGAAGAGAATAGAGACCAGAAGTAAAATAACATTCCCCTGCAAAGTAAACAAAAAGAGTGTGCACAGTGTGTTTGTCATAGCTACAGGCATGTTTAAAACCAATTCAATGTTTTATTGTGGTGTTTTCTAGTATCACTAGCTATTTGAAATAATTATATAAGATTAGTACAATCACAGAGACAAATTACTTTGCAATCAGTACAAATTGTAATGTTGATAACTGTTATATATTTATAGCTCTTTTTGTTTTCTATTGATTAGTTGATGATATGCATGACATATTATGCATAGTACTAAGTTACAATTTAAAACCCAACTTTTTACTTAGTAGTGCTTGTACTGCCCCGCCTAAATTCTACTAGTCTTCTTAGCACCAACCAACAGAAGACCAGCCCTTGGTGTGGGCACAGTGGCTCATGTCTATAATCCCAGCATTTTGGGAGGTTAAAGCAGGAGGATTGCTTGAGCTCAGTAATTTGAGACCAGCCTGGGAAACAGTGAGATCTTATCTCTACTGAAAAAACAAATACCACCACCAACAAAAAAACTAGCCAGGTGTGGTGGTGTGCACCTGTAGTCTCAGCTACTTGGGAGGCTAAGGTGGGAGGATCACTTGAGCCTGGGAGGTTGAGGCTGGAGTGAGCAGTGAAAGCACCATTGCACCCCAGCATGGGAGACAGAGTGAGATCCTGTTTAAAATAAATACAAATACAAATAAAAAAAAAAACTAGCCTTCAAGCAAGTCTTAATTTATCCCAAGGTTTTCTCCACACCTATTTTTAACATTCTCTCAACAGTGTTTCCTTATTATAAAAATTAATTTTAGTTGTTAAAAAAATCTATATTCACATCTATATTCATCCGTCTGTCCATCTGACAGTCATTTATTATTTGTTCTGAAAAACAGACTATTTTTCCTATTACATGTATAAGAATATGGTTGTTTGAAGTTGTATAAATATCTACAAGCTGGTATATATAAATATATAAAATAAATATATGTTTTTATTATATGTATTACATGTATAATTTTATATATATTATATATCTCCAAATATTAAATAGCAATTCTCCCAAATTATCACCCAATAAAAAGGGCATTGCCTTATATTCAAGTCCTTACAAATTTATCTACTAAATATCATTTCTTCATATTTTGAATACCAAAGTGTTGGTTGGGTAAAGGTGTATTTTTTCCAGATGATTTCAATCAATTCCTAATTATATATTGAAATGTTGTGCTGGATGTCTGATGTCAACTGATTTTCGTCTGTGCTTTAATCAGCTACCTTATATAACTTTTAAAAACTTTGAATAATTTTATTGATATTCTTGAATATGTTACATTGAAAATTGTATTACTTTCAAATAGTGATAAACGTATTTTTTCTGATGTCTTTCTTCTTTTGTTTGTTTTATCATATGATTTCTCACTTCTAGACTATTGATAAATAATGCTGCTATCATTATACATTTTGCTTATCTATTTCTGATCTAAGTGTGACAGAACAAGTATTTCCTCATGAAGTATGATGTGGCTTCTGCTTTCAGGCTAAAAGCTCTTCGTTTATGAAATACAGTGGTAAGCCTAGCTCACTAAGAGTTTTTGAGAATTATTTTCTGTTTGACATAAAAATATTTTAAAAGGGAGTTTTAAAGTAATTTGATGCTTTTGGTTTAACCTTTTTATACATTTCTGGTGTTAATGTATAAGATAGGAGAAAACAGCATGTATAATTTAATTTCTTAAAATTTATCGATTCATTTTCTTTGCAGACTAGTGTATTATCCTTTTAAAAGTATTTCAAGGGCATATACACACATACCTACACACATATTAATGAATCCAAGTTTATTGGATGAATGGATTTCACTTAGAAATTGATTTTGGAGACTCTAAAAATAAGTCTGACAGCATTTGAAGGTAGCCATGTCTGCTTTGTGTTTTAGAGACTCACACCTGACAGACTGTGCAGTCTATTTGTAACAATGGTTGTGATCACACTTACAGAAGAAGTCTGTCTGCAAGCTAGGGTGCCCAAGGTTCTAATGACATGCAAGGAAACAAAAGAAGTTCAGGGAGTATTTTCAATGTGTTTAAAAGTGTGATGGGTATATTACATCATCTGCAGGAAAGCTCACAAGAAAATTGTACCAGTTACTTATTGGCAAACAGCCATATCACAAACAAACAACCGTCTAGCTCTGTTATTTCATAGAGATGTGTTTACCCTATGGAGTCAGCCTTAGGTTAACCAGGAGTCTTGCTCATCTTGTCCGAGCTCACTCATGCATTGGGAGTTGGCTGGTCTAGGCTTGCCGTGACTGAGATAACGGGCAACTCAGGTGTGGTGGATAGGTCTCTTATCTTCCAGAGGACTAGCATGGATGTATTAGTCCATTATTGTATTGCTATAAAGAACTGCCTGAGGCTGGGTAATTTATAAAGATAAGAGGTTTAATTGACTGGCAGTTCCATACTCTGTATTGGTAGCATGGTTGGGGAGGCCTCAGAAAACTTACAATCATGGTGGAAGGCAAAAGGGAAACAAGGACATTTTACGTGGCAGGAGCTGGAGAAAGAGAGAAAGCTACGAGGGAGGTGCTACACACTTTCAAAAAACCAGATCTCCTGAGAACTCTATTAGGAGACAGCACTTGGGGGAAGCTGCTAAACCATCAGAAACTACCCCCATGATCCAATCACCTCCGACCAGGCCCCAACTCCAACACTAGGGATCACAATTCAACATGAAATTTGAGTGTGGACACAGAGCCAAACCGTATCAGTGGGCATGTTCTTATGTTGATGGCAGGGATACAAGAGGCAGCAAGCAAACACTTGCAAAGCCCCTGCAGTACCAGGCATAGAACTAGCCCACTGCCATGTCCACTTATTCCAGAGGTCAAAGCCAGGCACATGGAATGGAGAAATACTCTGTCTTTACAGGAGGAGGTCCAAAGTCACTTGACAAAGTGTGTGGGTTCAAGGAGAGGTAAAGAATTGGGGTCATAGTGCAATTAATTGTATTGTTCTTAGTTATGAACTAAGACATGAGCTAGGAGGAATTCTGTCAATTTCACCTCTCAAGCCAATCAGAAGCTCTGACCATCACTTATAAAGGTCCTTGATGCATACAAAATGGTATAATAAATTATTATTTAATATTTTGTGTTGCATTGATATATGATTTCAAAATACAGTGAGAAGACATGATAAAAGAGGAGTTTCACTGTGAAGAGCTTGTGTGCAATGGATGCATTTGGTGCTAATTAACATGCATCATGCTACAAAGTAATAAATACAGTGATGCTATAGTTTTTCTGTATTTTAAAGTTTCTATTTATAGTCTGATTTCCTATATCATGGCCTAATTTCCCTCCAGCCTTGGACCTGTGGGACCTAGTTAATTCTGTTTGCAGGGGAAAAAAATGTACCTCTTTTCTTCAAGCTATTTTATCTCTTTCTTTGTATTATTCTGCAGCGAGGCACTTAGTGCCTCTGGAGTTGGAAGATTGTTTTTTTCACTAGCAGAGATGACAAAAAAAAGTAAACTTTGATTCTCCTTTTATTTTGGTATTTAAATTCATGATCTATTCATAGGCTATTTTGGCTTGAGAAGCTGTGAATTTTTTTTGTGATGGAAGTTTTCAAGTGTTCTACTAAGTTCTTGCAAGCTTTCCACCGAATCACGAACTTGCAGAGCTAGAAGGGATTTTGCAGCCCCTCTAGACAAATGAGCCATTGCAGGAATCTTTTATTATTATTATTATTATTACTGTTATACTTTAAGTTCTGGGATACATGTGCAGAACATGCAGGTTTGTTACATAGGTATGCATGTACCATGGTGGTTTGCTGTGCCCATCAACTTGTCATCTACATTAGATATTTCTCCTAATGTTGTCCCTCCCCTAGCCCCCTACTGCCCAACAGGCCCCGATGTGTGATGTTTCCCTCCCTGTGTCCATGTATTCTCTCTGTTCAACTCCCACTTATGAGTGAGAACATGCAGTATTTGGTTTTCTGTTCCTATGTTAGTTTGCTGAGAATGATGGTTTCCAGCTTCATCCATGTCCCTGCAAAGGACATGAACTCATCCTTTTTTATGGCTGCATAGTATTCCATGGTGTTTATACGCCACATTTTCTTTATCCAGTCTATCATTGATGGGCATTTGGGTTGGTTCCAAGTCTTTGCTATTGTGAACAGCGCTGCAGTAAACATACGTGTGCATGTGTGTTTATAGTAGAATGATTTATAATCCTTTGAGTATATACCCAGTAATGGGATTGCTGGGTCAAATGGTATTTCTGGTGCTAGATCCTTGAGGAATTGCCACACTGTCTTCCACAATTGTTGAACTAATTTACACTCCCTCTAACAGTGTAAAAGCATTCCTATTTCTCTACATCCTCTCCAGCATCTGTTGTTTCCTGACTTTTTAATGATCACCATTCTAACTGGCATGAGATGGTATCTCATTGTGGCTTTGATTTGCATTTGTCTAATGACCAGTGATGATGAGCATGTTTTCATATGTTTTTTGGCTGCAAAAATGTCTTCTTTTGAGAAGTGTCTGTTCATATCCTTTGCCCGCTTTTTGATGGGGTTGTTTTTTACTTGCAGATTTGTTTAAGTTCCTTGTAGATTCTGGGTATTAGCCCTTTGTCAGATGGATAGATTGCAAAAATTTTCTCCCATTCTATAGGTTGCCTATTCACTCTGATGACAGTTTCTTTTGCTGTGCAGAAGCTCTTTAGTTTAATTTGATCCCATTTGTCAGTTTTGGCTTTTGTTGCCATTGCTTTTGGTGTTTCAGTCATGAAGTCTTTGCCCATGCCTGTGTCCTGAATGGTATTGCCTAGGTTTTCTTCTAGGGTTTTTATGGTTTGGGGTTTGACATTTAAGTCTTTAATCCATCTCGGGTTAATTTTTGTATAAGGTGTAAGGAAGGCATCCAGTTTCAGTTTTCTGCATATGGATAGCTAGTGTTCCCAACACAATTTATTAAATAGGGAATCCTTTCCCCATTGCTTGTTTTTGTCAGGTTTCTCAAAGATCAGATGGTTGTAGATGTGTGGCATTATTTCTGAGGTCTCTGTTCTGTTCCATTGGTCTATATATCTGTTATGATACCAGTACCATGCTGTTTTGGTTACTGTAGCCTTGTGGTATAGTTTGAAGTCAGGTAGTGTGATGCCTCCAGCTTTGTTCTTTTTGCTTAGGATTGTCTTGGCTATATGGGCTCTTTTTTGGTTCCATATGAAATTTAAAGTAGTTTTTTTGTAATTCTGTGAAGAGAGTCAATGGTAGCTTGATGGGCATAGCATTGAATCTATAAATTACTTTGGGCAGTATGGTCATTTTCATGATATTGATTCTTCCTATCCATGAGCATGGAATGTTCTTTCATTTGTTTGTGTCCTCTTTTATTTCATTGAGCAGTGGTTTGTAGTTCTCCGTGAAGAGGTCCTTCACATCCCTTGTAAGTTACATTCCCAAGTTTATTTTATTCTCTCTGTAGCAATTGTGAATGGGAGTTCACTCATGATTTGGCTCTCTGTTTGTCTATTACTGGTGTATAGGAATACTTGTGATTTTTGCACACTGATTTTGTATCCTGAGACTTTGCTGAAGTTGCTTATCAGCTTATGGAGATTTTGGGCTGAGATGACAGGGTTTTCTAAATATACAATCATGTCATCTGCAAACAGAGACATGTCATCTGCAAACAGAGACAAGGACTCTTTTACAGAACATTATTGCTAAATGATGATCTGACATTGGCTTGAACACTTCCAGTGATGGGAGCTCACTGCTGTAAAGAGAGGACTATTCCATAAATACAGTCAATAGATGAACGTGCATTACAACAATCTGTCCCTTTCCCCCAGTAATATTCTCCGCTTGATTCTAATAGTGTCATCTGTAGCAAGTAATCTGTTCACTTTTCCAATGTGACAGACAGCCAAAATTTGAAGTTCATTAGAGTTGATGATTCCTGCTGTAAGGATAGATATATAGGTCAATACAAAAAATAGCTGATCAAGAAGTGGACTGTTCAGGAAACAACAGATGTTTTAGAGTATATGGAGAAATAGAAATGCTTTTACACTGTTGGTGGGAGTGTAAATTAGTTCAACAACTGTGGAAAACAATGTGGTGATTCCTCAAGGATCTAGAACTAAAAATACCATTTCACCCAGCAATCCCATTACTGGGTATATACCCAAAGGATTATAAATCATTCTACTATAAAGACACATGCATACGTATGTTTATTGCAGCGCTGTTCACAATAGCAAAGACTTGGAACCAACCCAAATGCCCATCAATCATAGATTGGATAAAGAAAATGTGGCATGTAAACATCACAGAATACTATGCAGCCATGAAAAAGGATGAGTTCATGTCCTTTGCAGGGACATGGATGAAGCTGGAAACCATCATTCTCAGCAAACTAACACAAGAACAGAAAACCAAAAATGGCATGTTCTTACTCATAAGTGGGAGTTGAACAATGAGAACACATGGACACAGGTAGGGGAACATCACACACCAGGGCTTGTCAGGGGGTGGGGGGTGGGGGATGGGATAGCAATAGGAGAAATACCTAATGTAAATGACAGGTTGATGGGTGCAGCAAACCACCGTGGCATATGTATACCTATGTAACAAACTGGCACATTCTGCACATGTGCCCCAGAACTTGAAGTAAAATTTAAAAAAATGAAAAGCTCTTGTTCAATGCAATGTAGAAATACAAAAAAAGAAAGAAAGAAAAAAAAGAAGTGGACTGTTACATTTACAGGTGGTTGATTTTTTTTTTTTTTAATGGAGTCTCGCTCTGTCGCCAGGCTGGAGTGCAGTGGCGCAGTCTCGGCTCACTGCAACCTCTGACTCCTGGGTTCATGCCATTCTCCTGCCTCAGCCTCCCAAGTAGTTGGGATTACAGGCATGCACCACCATGCCCAGCTAATTTTTGTATTTTTTTTTTAGTAGAGACAGAGTTTCACCACGTTGGCCAGAATGGTCTCGATCTCCTGACCTCATGATCCACCCCCCTTGGCCTCCCAAAATGCTGGGATTACAGGCATGAGCCACTGCACCCAGCCAGGTGGTTGACTTTTAACAAACATTTCAGGATAATTAACTGGTGAAAAACTTGTCTTTTCAACAAATGGCACCAGAACAGTTAGATATCCACATAAAAAATTGAATCTTCAAATCACCTCACAATATATATATAAAAATGAACAGAAACAGACATTCACATAAACATAAAAGCTGAAAGTATGGTACTTTAAACAGAAAGCATAGAAGTATATCTTCTTCCCTTGTAGGAAGAAGATATTTCTTAAATATGATACCAAAAACATAAACTATAAAAGAAAAAATTAATAAATTACATGACATTAAAATTCAAAAATGCTCTTCAAAAGAAACTGTTAAGAAAAATGAGAAGTCAAGTCATATGCTAGGAAAAAATTCACAATACATATATCTGACAAAGGACTTTAGAACTTACAGTGTACTCTTACAACTCAATAAAAAGTTTTTGAACATACCAGGTACAAATAGGGAAAAGATTTTAGCAGATTCTTCGCCAAAAAAAGTGTATACAGATGGTCAATAAGCACATGAAAGTAGCTCAACATCATTAGTCACCAGGGAAATAAAAACTAAGAGATCCCATTCCTCACCACCAGGATAGCTAAAATTAAAAAGGCTGACAATACCAAGTGTTGGTGAGAATCTGGAACATCTGAAACTTTCATGCATTGCTGTTGGGAAGGTAAATTGGTATAATTACATTGGAACAGAATTTGATGTTTTGTTATAAATTTAAATATTGTTTTACAGTGCTAGCCAGAAATTTTACTCCACTGTATGTACCTAAGACAAACTAAAGCATAAGTTTACAGGAAGAATTTTACACGAATGTAATTAGAAGCTTTATTTGTAATTACTCTAAACAGGAAACAACCCAAATGTCCATCATCAGTTGATTAGATAAACAAATTGTTACTTATGTTAAAATCAACACTTCTCAACAATAAAAAGGAACAAACTATTAACCTATGCATCATCCTGTTTAAATCTCAAAAACATTATGCTGAGGGAAAGAAGATAAGCAAAAAAGATTATATATTGTATAATTTCATTTACATTAAATTTTAGGAAAATCTAAACTGGTCTATAGTGACAGAATATTGCCCATGTGTTGATGGGGTTTGAAGTGATGAAATTTGACTGCAAATATTCTATATCTCGATTGTGATGGGTGTCACACGATTGTTACATCAGGATATCGTTTGTCAAAAGTCACTAAATTCTACACTTAGATTGTATACATTTTGTTGTACGATAATTATGACTCAAGTTGATTTTTGAAATGTTTTTTTCTGATTGTAAAAGTAATACAATCTTTTTTACAAAGTATGAGAAACAAAATGTAAAATTAAAAACAAAAACTGTGACCCAATACCCAGAGAAAACAAATACAGAAGATATGATATATTTTCATTTCCTTTTCCTTCTGATATATATGAACATTAAAGTTTATGTGGCATTATTGGATATTTGGGGGCATATAATTTATTGTTAGAATAAAGAATGCCAGAATAAACTTTTCGTATATATTCTTTGACTAAGCTTCCAGTAATTTCCAGAGCCATATTACTAGTCAAAGGGTATTACATTTTTTTATTATACTTTAAGTTCTGGGGTACATGTGCAGTACATGCAGGTTTGTTACATAGGTATACACGTGCCATGGTGGTTTGCTGCACCCATCAACCCGTCATTTACATCAGGTATTTCTCATAATGCTATCCCTCCCCTAGCCCCCCACCCCCCGACAGGCCCTGGTGTGTGATGTTCCCCTCCCTGTCTCCTTGCTATGCTTTGTAAAATTTTTTCCTAGAATGATGATCTATTTCTACTAACCATATGTAAAGCACGACTTTGATCTTTGCCATATCCTAAGCATAATTGCTAATTACTGAATTAGTCTTTTCTCATTTGAACAAAGGTCATTTTAATTTGCATTTTTTTCTATAAGTAATTAGATTACATTTTTTCTTAAAATATGTTTATAGTTACTTATGTTTCTATAAATTCTGTTCAGGCACCACGTCCATTTTTTTTCTGTCATAATTTTATTAATTTTGAGACAGAGTCTGGCTCTGTCACCCAAGGTGGAGTGCAGTGGCACAATCACAGTTCACTGTAGCCTTGACCTTCTGGATTCAAGAGATCCTCCCATTTGTGCCTCCCAAAGTGCTGGGATTACAGGTATGAGCCACCATGCCTGACCCAGTATTTTATTTTTAATAGATATATGTGCTTCCTTATCTCTTAAGGACATCACTGTTTGTGGGTCATATTGGTTTTAAATATTTTTCTCAGATTTTTTTTCCTGGTATTTTGGTTGTTCAGACCAAATTTAACAATTAAAATACCAAAAATTTCTATTTTTGTGTAGTCAATTTTTAATTTGAATTCTGCTTTTCAAGATGTTAGCAACCAAACTATACAGGAATTTGAAAATTTTCTGTATTAAGCACAAGGCAGTATGATTATTCCATATATGAAACCATAAAAGAAAAATAGACTGGACTCTACTAGAAAGGAAAACATGGAGAAACTTTTACCTGCCTCAGCCTTGCAACAAATAACATATATAATCTACCTTAAAATAAGAAATACGTAATAGTTGAAGGAAAGTAAAATACAGAAAAGAGAGCGCATGAGGTGGTGTTTTGGCATATGCCACTTCTTATAGGCAAGGAGTATAGATATGGAGTTGGTGGTTAAGGTTATGATACATGTTTAAGATTGGATACTTAAAAGCTTACCTGCCTGGGTCTTAGGGAGCTACTGGTAGTGTGTATACATGGACCTCACTCATAGTCAAGAATATTTGGACATTGCTCACATGACTCTTCCTAAGATATTGGTATAAGAATAAGAACCTGAATTTCAGAGAGTATTGACTAAACCATAATGTAAGGTTCGAGCAATCAGGTGGTTTTCACAGGCCACGTAGTGTTGTCCAAGGGTTTGAGGTGATGTGAATGAAGTTTTTTGCGTTAGAGAATCAGTGACCACAGAGGTCTTTCTAATCTGTGTGTGAGCACCGCCTGCTGGCCACCACAGGGAAAATTGACCCTGGGAAGCTGTTTCACGGAGAAGCATTGGTGCCTAGACAGGGTATCACAGTCTTTAAAGAAGTTTGGCCATATGCAAATTACAGTGATGATTCACTGTGGTATGCAAATTACAGTGATGACTCACTATGGAAAGAGATTTTTTGCTTTCAAAGTGTCTTGGAATGTGAGACTTTGAGAATTATCTTTCTAAAGGGAGCGAGTGTGGAAAAGTTATTCTAATGTGCTGTTTGTAGGAGAGTAGGTTGGTTTAATCTTCAGGAAGTGCATTTTGGCAATGTGTGCCAAAAAATTAAATTGAACTACCAAATCCTACTTTTAGGAATTTATCCTAAACAAGTAGTAAAAAAAATTAGCGAAGATAATTGCAAGGGTTCTTTTTTTTCCCAAAGTAATATTATAGTGGCGAAAAAAATGTATTCCATTGTGAAGTAAAGAGACTGTTTATGTAAACTATGGTTTGGCCACCTAATGGAATACTATGTTGCCATAAAAAGGATGTATGTATTTTGATATATATCAATATGGCAAGGTATCTATAGTATATCATTAGGTGATAAAATGCATGTCCATTAAACTTCATGTACTGTATCATGAGCTCTGGAGTCAAACGGCCTTGTTTCAAATTCTGGCTTCTCCACTTGCTGTCATATGAGTTTGGGCAATCTGACCTTTTCTGTCCTCAATTTTTTTATCTCTAAATAGGAAATTTATTGATAGTACATACTTTATAAGGTGGCTTTAAATATGAAAAAGGAATTCAAATAAAGGGCTAAAGCTCACTACACCTAAAAAAAAGTCAATTCTTTTGATTGTATCTTTGTGCTCATAAAATATATTCCCACTTATGTTTCTATCCAGGAACAGAAGTAAAGAATAAATCAACATAATGGGGCTATTTATCTCATAGTGTTGTAATTAAAGGTAATTTTTAAAATATTTTCTTTATACCATTTTATATATTTTAGTTTATACTTTTAATATGTATCACATATAAAACTTAAAATAATCAAAGCTATTTTCTATACAAAAAAAGAAAAGCAGCCTTCTTACTGCAGGAACAGTAAGGCATCATTAACAACATACTTTTTGAACTGAAAATGAATTGAATTTGAAATTTCAGATCATATTTAGAGCTTCATAATCGGTTTGGCCAGGTGGTGTTAGTAGTCACTGAAATTTACAGATGAAAGCATGAATCCTGAATACCCAGATAGAGTTCAAATTTTTCTCAAATGAAATATCTATAAAAGCTGGGAAACAAACTAAATTCCCCAAAGGAATGCTTTTCTCATAATCTCCATGATTTAAGCAAAAGTAGGGCAAGTACTACTGATGTGCATATAATCATAATAATGACTTTGAAATCTGATTTAATGCTACAGAATGTTCCTTTTTTGTCATATATCATCCATGGAGAGGAAAAGATAAAGGAAGAGAAGGAAAGAGGCCATATATGATCGTTTTTGAAGTGCTACCTAAATTATCTGATTTTTATTCTTAATGGATTCTTATTTGAAGTTTGATGTCAGTGAATGTTGAAATAAGAAATTATCTTAATATCACATTTCCAAAGTTCCATTTGTGTTTCTCTACAGGGTTCTATTTAATGATACTTGTTTGCAAATCTCAGTGTCTGCACATTGCCCCATACTCAAAATAGACAGCAGGGGGCAATTTCTTTCAGGATTGCCCTTTCTAAAATCTTTGTGTTGTTACAACCAGAAGAAGAACCCAGCCATAAAAATATTGACGAACCGATGTATGAGTTTCACAGTTGGGCTTATATGAGTATTAAAGTTCATGGTGGAACATGGACATTTAACCACGTGCAAGGATTTATTTTGTTTCAGATCAAGAAAATTATCTTGACTTTTCAGATAAGATGGGAAGATGACTACAACACAGTCATCTAATACTCTTTTTCCCCAAATTCCTTCAAAATAAGAAAGAAAAAACCCGCATGGCCATTGGAAAGTAGGAAAGGCACTATCGAATTTGCACTAGCTTTGGAGAATTTATTGGAGAGGTGGTGAGATGAACCCAGATTGATGAAAGTTCTAGAGTGACTCACAGCACTCCTCCTGTACAAGAGCCGTGCTCCTGGAAAGGAGGGGAGGAGATTCTGCCAGACCCAGGCTAACATCCAAAACTAATCAAGCAAGAGCTGGAGATAAGCAAGGCCTGTTTTGTAAGATTTGGACCCCACCAGTTAAGCTCCGTTGTGGAATGTGAAATGTCAAAGAGACATCAACTCACATGTCAACAGCAGTTGATTTATACTGACTGCATGCTTGTGTTGAGAAGAATTTAATGCTGTGACTGGGCTGAGCAGTAGGGTTGCCAGATAAAATACAAAATGCCCAGACAAATTTGAATTTCAAATAAACAACACATACTTGTTTAAGTATATATTATGTCCCAAGTATTACACAGGACATG